>NC_000012.12:32276284-32428979 GCF_000001405.40 Homo sapiens
GCTGTTAGAGCAGTCATTGGCCAACCTCCCCAACAGCACTTGGGTTTTCCTGTTGAGAGAGGGGACTGAGAGACAGGACTAGCTGGATTTCCTAGGCCGACTAAGAATCCCTAAGCCTAGCTGGGAAGGTGACCGCATCCACCTTTAAACACGGGGCTTGCAACTTAGCTCACACCCAACCAGAGAGTTCACTAAAATGCTAATTAGGCAAAAATAGGAGGTACAGAAATAGCCAATCATCTATTGCCTGAGAGCACAGCGGGAGGGACAAGGATCAGGATATAAACCCAGGCATTCGAGCTGGCAACGGCAACCCCCTTTGGGTCCCCTCCCTTTGTATGGGAGCTCTGTTTTCACTGTTTCACTCTATTAAATCTTGCAACTGCAAAAAAGAAAAAAAAAAGAATCTTCAAATGGCTATTGATGCTAAAGAAAGTTCTGAAGGAGCATTCTCCAATGCAGTTATTTCCTACAGAAGATTTTAAGTGATTTTTTAAAAAACTGCCTCTTTTCTAAAAATATTTCAGCTTTTATTTTAGATATGGGGGTACATATGTAGGATTGTTACATGGGTATATTGGATCCAGGTAGTGAGCATAGTAAGCAATAGGTAAAAAAATGACCTCTTATTCAAGAGGGTACCTCATTACTATTTACAAAGTGCTTTCAAACATTCTTTCTCATTTTTTCTGACAACTCTGGACGTCCCCCCCTACTTTTAGAAGAAAACTAACAGTCCCAAAAATGTTTTGGTGTAAGTCAATATATGAACCCAGGTCCATGTCCAGAACTGTTTACCACTCACCTCTTTATAAAACGGTAACTGTGGCCAGGCACGGTGGCTCACTCCTGTAATCCCAGCACTTTGGGAGGCCGAGGGAGGTGGATCACTTGAGGCCAGGAGTTCAAGACCAGCCTGGCCAATCTGTTGAAACCCCATGTCTACTAAAAATAGAAAAATTAGTTGGGCATGGTGGCACGCACCTGTAATCCCAGCTACTCGGGAGGCTGAGACAGGAAAATTGCTTGAACCGGGGAGGTGGGGGTTGCAGTGAGCTGAGATCATGCCACTGCACTCCAGCCTGGGCAACAGAGCAAGACTCTGTCTTAAAAAACAAAAACAAACAGTAACAGTTACTTCTCTGAAGCTATTATTTTTTATCCTGTTACATATATCAAAGACTTCATTTGGGTAACTATATTCACGATTATTTTAAGCTTTCTTTTTCATTACCAATAGTTGGGCTAACCTTTATTTTCTGGATGGTAAAGGTGTTTTATAGCAACAAAAACAAACAGCTAAGTCAATCCGTCCAGGTACCCTGTTAAAGCTTCAAAGACTCTGGATCAGAATGATCTCTGCTATACACACATACCCAAAGAATAAACAAAAATGCTATTGCTAATATCTCTCAGTCCCTTGAGGGATTAACTTTTAGTCCCTTGATTTGCAAATCAAGCTGTAAACTATATTAATTCCCCCCTTTCTGTACCTTTCCTTTCGGATGATGCTCATCTAGCATTTTGCTGTCTTGAATACCTTCTCCTTTCTCATCCCTATATATTTTCATTCTTTATTTGAGTATAATTCCACTTTAACACATTACCTTAATGCAAACCATTATCTCCATTTTTGCTCACTTCTTTCCCTTTCACAGCACCTCTTCTCAATAAAAGTCTATATGTAGTGTGTTCCCATGGTGATGGGAACTAAAATTACTTATAATCAATGGTTTTTATATTGTCGCTGCTGCTTATCTCTTGGGTTAGGCCTCTCTTTGCAGCCAGGTCACAGGTAAGTCTATGAAGGTGAGATGAAACAATATTTACCAGAGATTGAACTACTTCTGGAATATTTGTGAATCCAGCCTTCACCATTATTGCACCATCTAGATTTCACATCTGTTTAGTGTATTACCAATATTTCCTTTTTCCATATAATGAATTCTTTTATTGTAGTAATTGTGGTATCAGGGCACCATGGATATTCATAGTTATAAGAAGATATTATCATAGAAGAAAATTGTCATGCCATCATTCATTATGGTGTTTTGCATCTTTGAATTTTAAACAGAGAAAGAGAAAGAACAGTCAAGCTAGTAAGCAAGAGATAACCAATCTACTTTGGGAAATGACCAATGGTTCTTGATTTCAGGGTAGATTATAGAAAAGAGAAAAGATTATAGTATTTTATATCTGCAAAACTTATTCCAAAACAAATCAGTAAATCCAGGTTAAAATACCCAGGTCAGACAGTCACATTTTTACTAATAAAAATTAACTAGCAGCCCGGGCGAGGTGGCTCATGCCTGTAATCCCAGCACTTTCGGAGGCCGCGGCCGGCGGATCACGAGGTCAGGAGATCGAGACCATCCTGGCTAACACAGTGAAACCCTGTCTCTACTAAAAATACAAAAAAAAATTAGCCGGGCGTGTTGGCGGGCGCCTGTAGTCCCAGCTACTCAGGAGGCTGAGGCAGGAGAATGGCATGAACCCGGAGGGCGGAGCTTGCAGTGAGCCGAGATTGCGCCACTGCACGCCAGCCTGGGCGACAGAGCGAGACCCTGTCTCAAAGAAATAAAATAAATAAATAAATAAATAAATAAATAAATTGCAGCCCATTGAGTGAACTTTAAATGATCATGCTACTTTGTGAAATAGAATATCACATTACTAG
Source organism: Homo sapiens (assembly GCF_000001405.40). Classification (NCBI taxonomy): domain Eukaryota; kingdom Metazoa; phylum Chordata; class Mammalia; order Primates; family Hominidae; genus Homo; species Homo sapiens. The sequence goes on from NC_000012.12 coordinate 32,278,962, forward strand.
ATCTGTTGTGTGCTGGACAAATGCCAGCACAATGCAGTACTTTGCTGATATAGTGTGGAATAGATTTTGTGCTGCAGCAAAGCTGTCTATAGACTTCAAAAAACAAAGGTTATATGAGCATTAACCAAACTGTTTAAAATCTTACAGTTTCAAAGGACCACATATTCTATGATTCCATTTATATGAAATGTCCAAAATAGGCAAATCTATAAAGATAGAAAATAGATTAGTGGTTACCTGGGACTTGCGGGGATAGAAGCATTACAGGGTCAGGGCAGTGACCTTCCCTAAAAGATACAGAATTTATTTTCTAGGTGATAGAAATGTTCTAAATTGATTGCGGTGGTGGTCACAACTATGTGACAATATTAAAAATCATTCAATTGTATACTTTAAATGAGAGAATTGTAAATATATGAGTTATAGCTCGATAAAGTGATACCAAAAGAAAGATCTTCCCCAAAAAGCTTTCCCGTAAAAATACATGTTCCACCCAATTAAAATGCAATGTCAATACGTATTCGTTTATTTTATTGCTTAAAATAATGTGTTCTTTTGCACAAAGAAGAAAAAATAGAAATCAGAATGTAAGAAGACAAGTCATTTATGATTTATTTTGCACCATTTATTTCAACTGTTTAAAATAAAAGGGCCGATTTTATGCTGCTGTCAAGGTTTTGCTTATGATAAATGTTTGAAGTGACACTGAAATGTGAACTGGTTGTGAGACAGGCTCTCCTTGGCTTCTAATGGAGGCAGGTATCCCATGGGACAGATGCTTGTATTGCTTCAAATTCATTGTAGGAGAATTAACCCTTCGTGGTGCCACTTTCTTCATATGAATTAAAGTGAAAATTGCCAGGGTCAGTGGCTTACGCCTGTAATCCCAGCACTTTGGGAGGCTGAGGCGGGTGGATCACCGGGGTCGGGAGTTCGAGACCAGCCTGACTAACATGGTGAAACCCCAACTCTACTAAAAATACAAAATTAGCCAGGCATGGTGGCACATGCCTGTAATCCCAGCTACTTGGGAGGCTGAAGCAGGAGAATCACTTGAACCTGGGAGGCGGAGGTTGCAGTGAGCCAAGATCATGCCATTGCACGCCAGCCTGGGCAACAAGAGTGAAACTGCATCTCTAAATAAATAAATAAATAAAAATAAAGTGAAAATTATGCAGTATGGGTTTCACTGTAGTTTTACTACTCTTGTATAGAGGAGGAAAAATTTCTCCTCTACCTTCTTACAATCTCTGGCTAGGCCTAAGAATTAAACTTATATAATACAGATTAATAGAAGAGAAGCATACAAATTTTATTATAATTTTACTTGCACATGAAAGTCCTCACAAGACAATGAAGACCCAAAGAAGTGACCAGAAGTAGTAAACTTATATATCTTTTAGATGAAGAAATGATAAATTTGTGAAGAAGTGATAAGACAAAGCAGTTTGGATTATAGGCAGTAAATTGTGAGGAAGTCACTAAAAATATAGAGGGGGAAACTAATGGAAGATAAGGGATATTTTAGTAAGTTTGTACAGATCTATTTCAGAGTCAATTCCAAGTCTCAGGTGATAAAGATGTTCTTTTCTTCCTGGTACAGGGAGGGCACCTTTCTCCTGGAAATTTTAATGGTGTGTTTTTAAGTAGAAAGGGGGAGGTCAAAAGGCTTTCCTGCATCTGCTATTTCTCCATTGCTTTCAGCTCTAAATAATCAGTATGCCAAAGTGGCATATTTTGGGGTGGCACGTCCTGAAGTCCTTCACTTGTTTACTCACTCGTTGCTAATCAGGACTTGATCATCTTTGTCTCACCCCTTTTTACAGCCGTCCAGCCCTATGCTTTTTATTTTATGCCATTATTTAAATCTGATGTTCCATTCAGTTCTCTACAGTTGGAAGGGTCTAGCTTGGGCTACCTTTGTATTGTTCAAAATGCTTTTTTAAAAGGACAAAGGTCTTGTGGTCAAATCAGTTTAGCGAATGGTGCATACCATATCTTGCTCTTACAGAGTCTCAGTGCACACTAACATATTAAAGGTTCTGAGAAATCCAGAAGAAAAAACAAGTATGTAACTTTATTTAACCTAATATTTCCCAAACTTTTTTTTAGTGACTCACAGAAACACTCCGTAGAACTAGCCTCTGCAGAACACCCTATGGGAAATGGTGTTCTGGAGTCATAATTATCTCCCCCTTTATTACCTTATTACTCTTTCCCAGCTATGACAGATCTTTTTATATTTCTTTTTTTCTTCCCGAACATGTTTGTTTTAAGCCACAATTCAAACTTGCTACATTTACTTTTTCCTGGTTATTGCCCAGTTGTTAAGTCTGGATTGCCCTGGGAAGATGCTGATTACATGGTGCTCTGAATACCTTGCGTTCTTTGCCAGTAGCTCTCCTAAAGATTTGTGATGCATACATTACTGCCCAACAGAGAATTGGGCTTGCCTCATTGCAATTTCAGAAGACAATCCTCCTGCGTCCATCAGCTTGTTATTGGCTGGCACCACAGAGATGTGTTTCTCTGGCCCTCATTAATTGTAACCAACCCTAAGAGAGTTAAGTTGTATCAGGCATGTGTATACCTTACAGTGGATAAGTTTGTCAGATACTTTCCTTAGTGCATATTTTTTAAAGAGATAGAATAAAGTATAAATACACATGGAATGGATGTCACCAATAAGGGTTTTTAAACACTGGAGAATTTTATATGGGCCTGCTTTGTAGATATCCTTTTTTTTTTCAATCTATGAACTCAAATATATGAAATATGTCTGTACCCTCCTTCTTTTGGCTGCCCAGCTAAGCTCATCCCAACAACGCTTCCCAGCTTTCTTCAGGTCACCACCAATCCAATCCAGGCTGGAAGTGATGAGACTGAGCTGTGGAATACAAGGAGCGTGCATGGGGTGCTCTTCTGGATCCTGGGGATATAGTGGTTAAACCGTTACTGACAACATGCTCTCATGGCTCTTAGATCTAGTGGGGGAAAGATAGCCAATAAACACACAAAGAAATCAAATCTTGATAAACACTTTTCAGATCACTAAAATCAGATTATGTGAGTGTGACCAAGTGGCTGCTGTAGAAGGAATGGTCTTAGAAAGCTGCTTTTGGAGATGACAGTTAGGTTGAGGATCCTAGTGAAAAGAGTGTGAACAAGGAGAAAGAAATCCAGGCAGAGGAGACAGCTGCTGCAAAAACTCTAAAGCAAGACCCAGCTTCAGGTCTTCTTCTTTTTTTTTTTTTTTTTTTTTTTTTTTTTTTTTTTTGACACAGGGTCTCACTCTGTTGCCCAGGCTGGAGTGCAGTGACATGGTCTCGGCCCACTATAGCCTCCACCTCCTGGACTCAAGTGATCCTCCCACTTCAGCCTCCCGAGTAGCTGGAACTATAGGCACATGCCACCACACCCAGCTAATTTTTGTATTTTTTGTAGAGTCAGGGTTTTGCCACGTTGCCCAGGCTGCACCTTGAAGTCTTTCAAGAACCAACAGAAGGCCAGGGAGGGGAGCAAAGTGGATGAGTGGGAGAAGGATACTTCCTGAGCTCTTTCAAGGAGGTCAGGGCAAGTCGCATAGGGTTTTGTTAACCCTGACGTGGATTTGAGAATCATCAGCACGCAAGGAGGTATCTAAAGCTGGAGGCCTGGATGAGGTTGCCTTTGGGAAGTGAGGAAACAGCAAAAGGAGGGGCTTGGTACAGACCTGGATGGCTCAACCTTTAGAGGTTGAGCAGAGACGAGGGGACTGCAAAGAAGCAGCCAGGCAGGTAAGAGTTCAGATGTCTGGGAAGCCACACGAGAAAGTGTTTCCAAAAGCAACACATGCTGTTGAAGAAGCCCAGAAAGAGGAAGATACAGAGGTGGCCACCGATCCAATGACAACGTGCAAGTTGTTGATGACTTTGACGAGACCAGGTTCAGTGTTCTTTGGGAGGATTGAGGAGGAATGTGATTTAAGAATAGATGTTCATGACCGTAGAAGTGGAAATATGAATATAAAGGTTAAGGTTTGTTTGTTTTAAGATGGGACTTACTGTCTTTAAACTGTCTGCAGTAGAATGGAAGCAACTAATGAAAATGAAGGTGGGGATAGAAGCCATATCTCCTTGGGGTTTTTTTCCCCCTTAAGGAAATATGAGGCAAGGTTTTCAGGGAGGGAAGATGGACTGACTGTAGGAAGAGGAAGAGAGAGAAGTAAATAACTTGCTATACTGTGAACATGTAGTATGACCACTGGACAGTATTTACAGCCTATTAGAATTTGAGAGATTCAGGACTATTTGTTTTTTTTAAGTCCATCACTCTTATCAGTGATTTTGACCAAATTTAGTTAATACCGAAGTCAGGATCTGAACCCGGGGACGTCTTGCTCAGAGTCTGGGCATTTGACCACTCCACTCCACTCCACTCCACTCCACTCCACTGCCTCTCCACGAGTTACAGCTGAAACTAGTCCCCAGTCAGCACAGATCTGTCATTTCTCCAGTTCTCCTCAGCTATGAGCATGCATAGAGAAGGCAGAGAGTTAGGTTTTATGACCAAAAGAGAGAGATGAGACAGAATTAAATGTGTTTGCAAGTCAGTAAGTATGCGATGATGGTGAAATCAAAGAAGTGAAGAACCACCGTTGTAGATAATGAGCAAATTGGGGATCAAAGGATAGGAAACGTTGATGAGGTGGAAGAGCGAGTGGTTTGATTGGAAGAAGTGCAGAGCCTGATTTGGAAGAATCAGAGGTGCAGTTATTGGTGATAACATGACAAATGATATGGGTGTGAGTGGCTCATGTGGGTACAGGAGCAGATCACCTGTGTTGAGAAGGTTGAGGATTGAGAAGTCTGGGCCTGTCCCATGGATCTGACATCCAGGGGTCCCAGCCTTCTTGTTTTCTACAAAAGAGAAACTCAGAGCCTGTGCCCCTGGAATTTTCAAATAAAGCATGTGCTTGTCCCAAGGTATGGAGAATAGCGGCCGTGCAGCCAATAATGTCACTGGGCTCACTTGGGCTAAAGTGGGTCTCCCCTTTCCTTCCCTGCCCTCCCTCTACCCCGAAACTTTCCTTAACTACTGAAGATCAGGCCTTCTTGGCCCCAACACAGAAATCCCTGTGGGGTGGGGGGCAAGGAGAACTGTTGTCCACTCCTGTCTGCAACAAAAGAAGAGTTCATTTTTGGCCAAATGAATGACAATGAATATTAGGGTCTTGGACTGCCAGAACTCCCTGCCAGTGGCACTCCCTGGGAGAGAAGGCCTGTTCCCACACCCCTCTCTCCAGCTTTCTCCACCTGGACCAGATCAGTTGTTCTCCCTTACTCCCCTCTAGGATCCAGAATTCCTGGTTTGACTATCAAAAGTAACACTACTTATAAGTATTTATAGGATACATCATTGACTCTCACATTCACTTTATTATAAAATTTCTTTTTCTCTAACAACTCTAGGTACTTTTATTGTTATTAGGCCATTGTTCCTTACTCTTTGTTTTCTTGTATTATCACATCAGTCAGCGACCAAATCCTGTTCATTCTAACTGAGATGTTCCCCGATCTGTCCCCTCCGTATTCTTCATGTCTTCTCTCATGTTGGGCATTGGAGCAGCTGCTTAATTTGTTCTCTTTGACCTTTCTTGCTAAAGTCCACCCTCGCAACTCTCAACAGAGTCACTTGGCAAAACGTAGGTCTGATCGTGTGGCTGTTTTGCTTAAAAGTCTTTGATGGTTCCCCAGATTGCTTTGTTAAACAAAGGAATTTCTACTTTAAAAGTAGAATTTCCTGCGGAATCTTTCTCAAGTTACTTTGCTCCAACCACACTAAACCGCACCGTTCCCTAAACCACAGCCTAGTTAAGAACTTTAAAGATTCCAAGCACTGACTATATTTTGGTTCCTCCCACTACTTCAGAGGTTCGCGACACTAGACTAATTTAACATTTTATTCTACAAAATAGCACCGAACTTAGGCATATGTGGAAAATAACTAGCTGTTTTCCAGATTTTTCTGTTTCTGTCTTCTCTTTTCTTTTGATCACTGCTCCAGGCTTGCTGGGGCTGTAAGGAAATGCTCAGTCTAACTGGAGAATTTTAGCATTGCCTTCAACACAAATATAAGGCTACTTCTGTTTGAAGGTTTATCTCTGGCTGGAAAATCTGCCCTCCTCTATCTCCATTTAGTTAACCTTTACTTTTCCTTCAAGGTTCTACCCAATGATAACTTCCTTTATAAAGTGTTCCCTGGCTCACCCAGGGGTAATCAATTGCTTAGGCTTTTGCGTGTGAACTTCTGCTCGTGTTACCATAAATTATCTGTATGTCTAGCATCCTTGCTCATTTTACCATGTTATATCATTAAATCCTCATAATTATCATGTAATCTTAAGTATTAGGATTCCTGTTTTGCAGATAGTAAACAGGGGTTTGTTACCCACCTAACCAAGCTATTATTAATATCTAATGTGACAATGGGTATAATTAATTTATAAAAGACTAAGAGCATTAAAACTGGAAGGCAGTATTATTTTTAATATATTGACTCTGTGTGGTGACAAGCGTTCATCTGTATTTTTTCTTCTTGCCAATAGTGAAGGGAATTTATGATTCCTACATAAAGAAATCTTTTTAATGTTAATTAAACTAAACTGTAAGAATGCTGCTATGCTCAGGTGCAATGCAAATAATGAGGTGACTCTATCCCTGCCATCTCAGGCTAATCCCCTCTCCCCTGAGGAGCTGAGACTCAGCTCCCTGGAGGTGAAAAGCTAAAGCATTCCCCTGTTGTGCCATTTTCTTCCCTTTCTCTCATGCATTATTTTTCTTACTCTGGTTATTCTTGATGGGAATTTTTAGCAGAGCTCAGCGCCATCTTATCCCAGGAAGAAAAAAAAATTGTAGGAGATAAATGTATGATGAATGGTGCAAAACACAACAGTTGCAATCTTTTAAATTTATTGTGAAATTAAAGAACATGCCCCTAGAATATAATCGCTGGCAATTCAAAAAGCAAGGATTTTTAGCAAAATAAATAAGACCAGTTTTCTTCCTCTGGGCCTTGTGTCTGTTCATCTCAGTGAGTCTTTCAGCTTAACCAGTGTTGCAGCCCAAGCTCTTCCTTGTCCTTAATTAGCATCAGGAGTTTTCATTAGTTATTTTACGAGTTGTTAGTGATCCTCATTAGCTTTGCTGTGGTCTTAAATTTTCTTGACATTTACTGTTTCACTGCATAAGATTTTATGGTTAATTCCCAGAGTATATAAGCCAGATTATTAGCCGTTATATTTTTTACAATGTATATATTCCCATTTCAGAATCTCTTGTATCTTAACATTTTTCTTTACAATTTTATATAAATGACTGTCATCCAGTTCGTTGGGCTTCCTGATATCTTTTTTATACATATTAAATAAGGAAAAATAAGTAAATATATATATCATTCACTCAGTTGATAGATTTTTCAAGAAAGAAAAAAATTAAGATAATATGTTTCTACAAAAAAAGAATGTAATGAAATACTGTAATTTGACTTTATAGCCAAATTAGGGGAACACTACTATTTTTCATTCTACAATTATTCCACACTATGCTGCAAGTATTGCCCAAGGAACAGAAGGCAGAAACCAAGTAACTTGACAATATATTAGAGAAGAATAACAAGTCAAGTTATTTTGAAGATTTAGGTGTATTTTATTTCAAAGTGCATTGTTCTCCCTTTGTGCCTCCTTCTCAAATAACACAACACAGGAAGCTGTCATCCATGTAATATATATTTTTTGGGGGATTAATCACTTGTATACCTGTTTTATTATTCATTCCATGGTCATTAGGGCCTAAAATGTACCAGGTATTAGGGACACAGGATAACAAGGCAGCAAAGGATCATTATATTCAGATGCAAAAGGAAATGTAATAAATATAAAATGTATAAAAAGTAAGTAGCCAGTTTCAAATAATAATCAGTGTCATTCTGTCAACACTTATTTTCTAAGTATGTACTCCATGCTAAATACTAATCTATAAAGTAACTCTGATGGGTGAGTGGAGGGCGAGGGGAGCTATTTTATATTAGTTGCTCAGGGAAGGTTTCCCTGAGGAGATGACATCTGAAATGAGACTTAAATAACAAGTAAACACAGAAGAGTTTTTCAGCTGAGTTTCTGGGAGTCTGTGGATAGATTTCAGGAGGTCTATAGACTTGGATCAGAAAAATAATTACATCTGTATTTTCACTCAACTCAGACTGAAATTTAGCATTTTCTTCTATTTGAATGTAGACAACAAATCTCAGTAGTACTAGTAGCACTTGTTACTTTGTTACCAGTAGAAAGTATAGTTTTTTTAAATTATATCTCAGTTTTCACAGGTGTCTTGAAATGTTATCATTGCTTTGAAATTATGAGATTTCTTGGATGTGATACTAGATCTGATTCTAATTGTGTTAATAAAGAAGCACATGTATTACTGTATTGATTATGTATTACTGGGTAATGAATGACCCACAATTTGGGAGCTTTAAACAATAACCCATGATTCTGTTGGTCAGCAATTTGGGCTGTGCTCAGCTGGGTGGTGTTTTTTTTTTTGTTTTTTTTTTTGAGATGGAGTCTGTCTCTGTCGCCCAGGCTGGAGTGCAGTGGCACGATCTTGGCTCACTGCAAGCTCTGCCTCCTGGGTTCACGCCATTCTCCTGCCTCAGCCTCCCAAGTAGCTGGGACTACAGGTGCCCGCCACCACACCTGGTTACTTTTTTATATTTTTTAGTAGAAACGAGGTTTCACCGTGTTAGCCAGGATGATCTCGATCTCTTGACCTTGTGATCCGCCCGCCTCGGCCTCCCAAAGTGCTGGGATTGCAGGCATGAGCCACTGTGCCCGGCCTCGGCTGGGTGGTTCTTAAGGACTTGCCAGGATTGCTCATGTGGTTGCAGTCATCTGACAGCCCCACTGGGCCAAATAGTCCAAGATGGCCTTCCTCCCATGCCCAGCAGCTGGTGCTGACTGCAGGCTGGGCCACATGGCTCCAACAGGCTACCCTGGGGCTCTTCACATAGTCACAGTGTTACAAGACAGCAAGAGCATGAGCCACAAAGCCCCGTGAGGCTCAGGCTCAGAACTCCCCAGCACTTCCACTGTCTTCTGTGGGTCATAACAAATCCAAAGGCCAGCTCAGTCAGTTTGAGAGGGAATTCCATGGGTTGTGACTTCAGGGAAGTGTGATTAATTGGGGGCCATTAATATACTTACCTGTCACCTACCAAGTCCTAATTTTTTTTTTTTTTTTTTTTTTTTCTGAGACAGGGTCTCACTCTGTAGCCCAGGCTGGAGTGTAGTGGCATGATCATGGCTCACTGCAGGCTTGACCTTTGGGGCTCAAGCAATCCTCCCACTTCAGCCCCCTGACTAGCTGGGACTAAAAGTGTGCACCACCATACCTGGCTAATTTTGGCATGTTCTTTTTTTGTACAAAATAATCTTCTGGATGGGGCTCACCATGTTGCCCAGGCTGGTCTCAAACTCCTGGACTCAAGTGATCCTCCCATCTCAGCCTCCCAAGGTGTGGGGTTTACAGGCATGAACCACTGTGCCCAGCCTATGTCATAATTTTAAAAATTATTATAATAAGTTGGCCGGGCTTGGTGACTCACACTTGTAATCCCAGCACTTTGGGAGGCCAACGCAGGTGGATCACTTGAGGTCAGAAGTTCAAGACCAGCCTGGCCAACACAACGAAATCCTGTCTCTAGTAAAAATACAAAAATTAGCCAGGTGTGGTAGCAGGCACCTGTAATCCCAGCTACTTGGGAGACTGAGGCACAAGAATCACTTGAACCTGGGAGGCGGAGGTTGCAGTGAGCCAAGATCATGCCACTGTACTCCAGCCTGGGTGACAGAGCAAGACTCTTTCAAAAAAAAAAAAAATTATAGTAATTTTAACATGTTCGGTGTTTTCTGTAATTTTGTCTTTTACACTTTTTAAAATATTATTCTGAGAAGAGGTACATAGGCTTCAGCACATTGTCAAAGAGGGTCAAGCACATTATGAGATTAGGAGCCCTTGATCTAAAGGCAGGGAGTTCTGGAAAGAGGAGTATAGAAGCCTCAAGGCAGAAGCAAGCTGGCATGTCCAATGGGATAGAGGAGCAGAAGGAAAGCTCCTGCGGCCAGAGCCAAAGATTGAGGGGCAGAGTGGTTGGAGACAGAGGTAGGGCCAGATCATGTGACTTCTTTGAAAGCTTCTGAAACTTGCAAAGGGACCTCCACTTCCCCACTGCACCATACCCACAGAGTGTGAAAGTAGGTATTGTATGTAAATTGTATTTTATGATTTTTTGGGGTCATTGCTAACTTTTTTCAGTTATCTTGGCAGAAATAAGAAAATTCTTTTTTGCTATTCCATATATCTATTGTGATATCAGAGTCTGTTGTTTGTTTGTGTGTTTGTTTGTTTAAGACAGTCTTGCTCTGTTGCCAGGCTGAAGTGCAGTGGTGCGATCTCAGCTCACTGCAACTTCTGCTTCCCAGGTTCAAGTGATTCTCCTGCTTCAGCCTCCCAAGTAGCTAGGACTACAGGCGCGTGCCACCACACCCAGCTAATTTTTGTATTCTTAGTAGAGACAGGGTTTCACCATGTTGGCCAGGATGGTTTGATCTCTCGAACTTGTGATCCGCCCACCTTGGCCTCCCAAAGTGCTGGGATTACAGGCGTAAGCCACCGCACCCAGCCCCAGAGTCTGTTGTTTATAGAGGATGATTGGGCGTAGCTTTCTAGAGCTGGGAAAACCACCTTTAAACAGTATTATATACCAATATTTACTATTTCATAAATTCAGGCATATTTGCTTAAAATAATCTCCTGTAGAGAGGCAAGAAACAGAAGCCCATTTTTTTGTTTTTAGGAAATTCATAGAAGCCTTTGGTAAGGTTCTTTTAAGTTGGCAAACTCTATTTTCAGAAGACTTCTATGTTGACACTTGTGACCTACAGAATTGCTTTAAGAGGTCAGCACTGATAAAAACAGAGGGAAGCTGTAAAGGGAGGATTAGGCTAAAGTCAACTGGTGGAGTAGGCATAGGTGAATTACTAAAGTGTTGATGAAATGACTCTGTTGGAGTTACCAGTTTATTATAATGAGAGCTAAAGTGAAAAACGCCAGACAGCCTAGAAGCATTCTGAATAACAAGGAGCTCCAACCCCTTATATATAAATGAGGTTACATATAGTAGGTTGAAAGCAGGTTTCCAAAACAACCAATTAGTTTGTATAGCTTCAGCTTCAGGATTGATGATTACATTCCATAGGATATTACATTAAATTGATGAAATCTGCACGTCTCTGGGGAACTCCTTACAAGCTAGCCAGTGAGCTTTTATGATGATAAGATACAGAATGGATAAAAATCTTCTGATGCCAAAAAAGCTTTGGCCCTGCCCAAGTTAGGATCTATATTCATATTATCACCAGGTAAAGTGTCTTGCAAACTTTCTTAGCTTTCATTCCTATCAGACTGCAGTTCATGACTGTGAGGTGTCAAAGACTCTCTCCTTAACCAAGCTTCAGTCATGCTCTGCTAATGTCTCTTTTGGACCAGGCTTCAAGCTTGCTCCACCCCCAGCTTTGGCTTGCCCAGCCCAGCCTTAGCAAGGAATTCTGCTAAGTCATCTCCCAACCCTAGATATCTAATTACCCTTGATATCTGATCAAGTTCTTCATCCTCCACCTTTTTGATGTCTAAGTCCTTGGACTGCCTTTAGCAAGAGTCCTGTTAGGCCAGCTTAGCAAGAATTCCCCTGCCCTTGATGTGTTCTTTTAGCAATTTCCCATCCTTTGACATCCTCATGCTGTTCTTGGCTATAAATCTTCACTTGCTCTTGCTGTTTCAGAGTTGAGCCCCTTCTTTTCCCCCCTCCAATTGCAATGGTTTTGAATGAAGTCTTCCTTACCATTTTAACAAGTGTCAGAATAATTTTTTTAACATCTGTCTTTACACCACAGTCAACAACCCCTTATCCTCCCCAAAACTCTGAGCTAACGCCACTACTTAGAGATTACAGTGTCTGCCTATTTTATTAGCTGGAACTGCATCAGTGATTTTGGAGTTGAATTTTTCATTTTTTACATGAAAGATTATGTGTTTATAATTTGTTGTTTTCACATATGCATAAACAGAACTAGGAAGAGCTGTACTCAGGAGTCAAGTCAGAAGAAAAAACATCACCATGTTCAAATAGACAACTGAACATGCCTCTGAAAACCAGAGACAAAGGGAGTTATTTACAGTTAACATCTATAGAATATGGGCCGGGTGTAGTGGCTCACGCTTATAATCCCAGCACTTTGGGAGGCCAAAGCAGGAGGATTGCTTGAGCCCAGGCATTCGAGACCAGCTTAGGCAACATGGCGAGACCCCACCTCTATAAAAAATTTAAAAATTAGCTGGGCGTGATGGTGTGCATCTGTAGGCCCAGCTACTCAGGAGGCTGAGGTGGGAGGATCACTTAAGCCTGGGAGGTCAAGGCTACAATAAGCTGTGATTAAGGCACCTGGGCAACAGAGCAAGACCCTGCTTCTACCAAAAAAAAAAATATATATTAAATTTGTAGAAGTCTGGGCACAGTGGCTCACACCTGTAATCCCAGCACTTTGGGGGCTGAGGCAGAAGGATTGCCTTCACGAGTTTGAGACCAGCCTGGGCAACATAGTGAAATACCATCTCTACAAAAAATACAAAAATGAGCCAGTTGTGCTGGTGTACACCTGTAGTCCCAGCTACTTAGGAGGCTGAGGTGGGAGAATCACTTGAGCCTGGGAGGTCAAGACTGCAGTAAGCCGTGATCATGCCACTGCACTGTAGCATGGGTGACAGAGTGAGAACATGTCTTTAAAAAAAAAAAATCTGTGGACTATGAAGCAAGATGAGAGACATTTGAAAGCATATGTCGGAAAGTCAGGTATACTTCTAGAGCTGGCTCTCTGTTAGGATAGAGACCTTTAAAATGTTTCTAGTGCTTGCAGATGTCACCCTACCCTCCTGCAAAGATAACAGTGCATTTACTTCTGTCACTGTAGATTAGTTTTGCCCAGGTATTCTTTTCTTAGGGCTGCCGTAACAAAGTCTGGGTGGCTTTAAAACAACAGAAATTTATCGTCTCACAGTTCTGGAGGCCAAAAGTCAGAAATCATGGTGTCGGCAGGGCCATGCTCCCTCTGGCAGCTCTAGGGAAAGGCCTTTCCTTGCCCCTTCCTGGCTTCTGGTGTTTGCTGGCAATCCTTGATGTTCCTTGGCGTGTAGATGGGTCACTTCGGTCTTTGCCTCCATGGTCACGTGGCCATCTTTTCCCTGTGTTTCTTCACATAGTCTTCCCATCCCACATGCAGAAGTATGTGTCAGTTTCTGTGTGGCTGAATTTCCCCTTTTTATAAAGACAGCAGCCCTATCGGATTGGGCCTCCTCTAATGATCTCATTTTAATTTTTGCCTTTGTAAAGACCCTGGGAGTTAGGACTTCAACATGTCTTTTTTGGGAGACAATTGAACCTACATAGCATGTTTTTGAACTTTACATGCAGAATCATATTGTATGTAGTCTTTTGCATCTGGCTTATTTCAGTCAATATATTAGTGAGATTCATCTGTGTTGCAATAGCAGTTTCTATTCATTGTCAGTCCTACCTACCACTATATCAAGGCTCTGCAAATTATGGTGTGAAGGCCAAATGCATCATGACTTATTTTTTTCGCATATGGATATCTAGGTATTACATAAGAAAATGTGGTTTTTGGTTTCTATGATACTTCTTCCCATATTTCTCTTTGTTTGAATAGGAAACAAATCTAATTAATCCTTAATTAAAAGAAAACTTTTATATCCCATCTTTCCATGACTATGAATATGTTACATGTATAAATGTTTATATCTGTTATGTGGTCATTATACATTTTGAACTAAAACATAGCTTATACTTGCCATATAAGTTTATGGAAAAAGTTAAATATTTTACTTAATTGATTGATTTATATCCTGTAACTTTACACATAAGTCCTGGTAATACAAGCTTGTTGTTAAAAAAAAAATTGAAATGATCCAGAAGGACATAAAATCAAACGAATAGGCTCCTCTCCTTATCCCTGTGGCTTGCCCAGTCTAATTCTTTATAAGTCACCGCTATTGACAGTTTTCTGGATATTCTTACAAATATTTTTTCTGACATGGAAGTGTGCATGTATCTGTGTATGTGTGTGTTCCCTGTATTTCTAACATACCTGGGATCCTAATATGCATACTAATCTATGACTTGCTTTTCACATTTAATAATATATTGTGACTACATTTCCATTTTAGTACAATAAAGTTTCTCCTCATTCTTTTTTTCTGTTTTTGAGATAGAGTCTTGCTCTGTTGCCCAGGCTGGAGTGAAGTGGCCTGATCTCGGCTCACTGCAACCTCCGCATCCCAGGTTCAAGTGACTCTCCTGCCTCAGCCTCCCAAGTAGCTAGGATTACAGGCGCCCACCACCACGCCTGGCTAATTTTTTTTTTTTTTTTGGTATTTTTAGTAGAGACGGGGTTTCACCATGTTGGCCAGGTTGGTCTCAAACTCCTGACCTCAGGTGATCCACCTACCTTGACCTCCCAAAGTGCTGGGATTACAGGTGTGAGCCACAGCGCCCGGCCTTTCTCGTTTCTTAAAATAATTTTATAATGTTCCGTTCAATGGATGCATGATAATGTGTTCCCCAAATAGCAAACGTTTAGACTGTTTCCAATTTTTTGTGTAAGTATACATGGATTTGTTTCTGTTTCTATTTACTTCTATGAAAACATACTTAAGAATGATTTTTAGATGTTGAATTGCTGGGTAATATATATGTGCTTTTAAGTTTTTGACAGATACCACTAAATTGCCATTCGAAAAAATGCAGTAACAATTTACACCCCATGAGGTGTTTTTATTATTATTTTTAACTACCAGGACTTTACACCTTGTAAAATCTACAATAAGAGAGTTATATATTGACTGTTTACTCTGTTGTTTCAGAACAATGAGATGGTGGAGCTACAGAGAATACGGATGAAGGATGAAATCCGAGAATATAAGTTCCGGGAGGCACGGCTCCTTCAGGACTATACTGAATTGGAAGAAGAAAATATCACATTGCAGAAACTAGTGTCCACGTTGAAGCAGAACCAGGTAAGGTTTAAGAAATTTTTTGTTATACTGAAGATGGATCTACATCTTCTGACCACTAGGGTTAAATCTCCAAACTTGTCAGAATTTATTGTTACTCTTTTATCTTCTCTCTATAACATTTATGTACTGCAATGTCCCAACCCTCCTATTTCAGCTAAAATATAGAAGGAAAAAATACACCTGTAAGTAGTATAGTGTACACTAAAGTTTTATTGAATAAGAAAAAGAATTTTAGTTTTTATTTTAGCTCTGTGTTCATTTATTTCATAAGTCAAATGTATCGTAACAAATTTAACCTGACAACTTCTCATTAAAAGCCTGAGTCTTAGCCGGGCATGGTGGTGTGTTCCTGTAATCCCAGCTACTTGGGAGGCTGAGGCAGGAGAATCACTTGAACCCAAGACGTCAAGGTAGCAGTGAGCCCAGATTGTGCCACTGCACTCCAGCCTTGGTGACAGAGTGAGACTCCGTCTTAAAAAAAAAAAAAAAAAAAAAAAAAGCCTGGGTCTGTAAGCTTGTCTATGAGCTTAGGGTCTCCCTACAATCACTGGTCTCTCACTCCCTTAAAATTTTTTCTGTAAATTGCTTTCAAATCGTAGAGGGGAATGGATTATGAAGTATAAATCAAGAAGAGCAAAATTATAAGAAAAAGAGGCCGGGCGTGGTGGTTCATGCCCGTAATCCCAGCACTTTGGGAGGCCGAGGCGGGTGGATCACCTGAGGTCAGGAGTTTGAGACCAGTCTGGCCAACATGATGAAACCCCGTCTCTACTAAAAATACAAAAATTAGCCAGGCATGTTGGTGGGTACCTGTAATCTCAGCTACTCAGGAGGCTAAGGCAGGAGAATTGCTTGAACCCAGGATGCGGAGGTTGCAGTGAGCCGAGATTACACCACTGCACTCCAGCCTGGGTGACAGAGTGAGATTCCGTCTCGAAAAAAAAAAAAAAAAAGAAAAAGAAAATGCCTGTTTTCTTTTTCAGCTGTAACCTGACTACAAAGATTACATTCGTACATTTAAATGATTTTTTTGCTGTAATGGGGGTTTGATAGCTTAATTTTCCTGATTGGTTTGCATTGTGGATTTTCAGAACTATTAATAATTATTGAATCTGTAATTTTAGAAGAATTTATTTATGAATACAGTTGAATCGAGTAGTTAATTAAGCAAAGGTGAATTGGATGTTCGAGTTCTTTTCAAGGTGCTTCCTCAGCGACACCTCTATTCTGGTCTAAACGCTGTTGCCACCTCTCAGTTCAGATCAACAGCCTATGTGCCAGGTGCTGTGCTAGGTTGGACAGACACAAGAATCCATAGGGCATGATTCTTGTCCTCTGTAAACTTAGAAGCCAGCCCAGATGTATGCTTTTACCTCACTCCCTTCCTGAGTTGGTATCTACATGATACACTGATTGATTGATTGATTGATAGATATAAGGGTTAAGAGGGAAAAGAAAAAAAATCCAGAAGAGAAAAATCCATGTAGTGGCACAATTAAAATTTGATTTCTTTTTTTTTTTTTTTGCGACAGAGTCTTGCTGTGTTGCCCAGGCTGGAGTGCAGTGGCATGATCTCAGCTCACTGCAACCTCCACCTCCTGGTTCAAGCAATTCTCCTGCCTCAGCCTCCCGAGTAGCTGGGATTACAGGCATGAGCCACCACACCCAGCTAATTTTTGTATTTTCAGTAAAGACAGGGTTGTACCATGTTGGCCAAGCTGGTCTTGAACTCCTGAGCTCAAGTGATCCGTCCACCTCAGCCTCCCAAAGTGCTGGGATTACAAGCACGAGCCACAGCGTCTGGCCAAAATTTGATTTCTGATCATTGCCACTTCCCCCAGATTTGGAGTGCTGGGGGGAAGGCATGTAAGGGGACAGTTTCAGTCCATCAAAAAAGGGCTACTGGAGTATCCCCATGTGTTTCTGCCTCATTCCTTCCGTAAGCACTGAATCCCCATATGTGTGCTGAGGGCTGGCCATTCCAGAGGCTCCCCAGGTCTTGATTTGGCTGGGATAAGTGAGCTCACAGTGGAGAAATGTAGACTTAGAAAAATACATTTGTAAAGATGCTTCTCGAATACTTTTTAAAATAAGAAGGGGTTTTTTTTTGTTTTTTTTTTTTTTTTTTGAGAGACGGAGTCTCGCTCCGTCACCAGGCTGGAGTGCAGTGGCGCGATCTTGGCTCACTGCAACCTCTGCCTCCTGGGTTCAAGCGATTCTCCTGCCTCAGCCTCCCGAGTAGCTGGGACTACATGCATGTATCACCACGCCTGGCTAATTTTTTATATTTTTAGTAGAGATGGGGTTTCAACGTGTTAGCCAGGATGGTCTCGATCTCCTGACCTCATGATCTGCCCGCCTCAGCCTCCCAAAGTGCTGAGATTATAGGTGTGAGCCACCACGCCTGACCTAAGAAGGGTATTTTCTTGTGGTCCTTTTTTTGGTTATTGATGAAACACATAGAGGATTTGAAACAAATTTACTTGAAGTGCAACTATTTAAAGTGGCCCTTCCTTCCCGATTCCTACACTCCTCACTGCTCTCTAGAGCATGGTGAGAGCACGATCAGCAGCCTCCCTGGAGAGCCTTCCCTGACCGCATGTGGAGACTGATGGACTCAGGAGGTTAATGAAGGCCAGTATTAGATATTCTTGAAAGACTGCCAAGGTATCCCTTGAGTATTCATTAACCCAGATGCCGGTTCTGGGAGAATTTGTACTGTCATTCCTGTTGTGAGTTTCCCCATGCCCTTCTCCCAGTAATTGAAACATGGAATCCAATGGTTAACTCAGAAGTTTTTTAAAAAGGAGGGGGGACTTACACATTTTTTATTTCCAACATGCCATATGCTAATTTTCCCAATTAAGTATCTAATTAATTCATTCAAAATCATTTTCTGCACAGAGCACCATTCTGGTTTATTCCCTGAAATTGGGGGAACTGAAATGCCACAAGTCTCTCCCAGCTAAGAAAATGCTGTGTTTGTTTCCAGTAGTAACTGATCTTTCTTTATAGATGCTAGCATCTATCATAAACTCTCTCTAATCAATAAAGTTTTTTGGTTTTTTGGGGTTTTCTTGAGACAGGGTCTTGCTCTGTCACCCAGGCTGGAATGCAGTGGCTTAATCTCGGCTCACTGCAACCTCCGCCTCCTGGTCTTGTGACTCGGCCTCCTGAGTAGCTGGGATTACAGGCGTGTGCCACCATGTCCAGCTAATTTTTGTATTTTTAGTTGAGACAGGGTTTTGCCATGTTGCCCTCCCTATGTTGCCCAGGCTGGACTCAAGTGATCGCCCACCTCTGCCTCCCAAAGTGCTGGGATTACAGGCATGAGCCACCATGCCCGGCCCTAATTAATGAAGTGTTAAGTACAATATTGTATGTACAAATGCCACAGAGTTTTTTAAAGAGATGACAATGAGTAGCATTCGGTCACAAAATTGGACTGTGTTACTTTGTACTGAAGTTCCCAATACGTTGTATAGTCCTTCAGCCTGGTTTGATGTTTCTCTAAACAGCAAAGCTACTACCATTTTAAAATGCTTAGTTCAAAGAATTTTCCCTTCTGAAGTATTATTTTTCTTTTAGTTATTTATTATTTTCTAAGTACAGTGTAATTATTGTTTAAAAAACACCTCTTACTTTCTATAAAGAGTCTATTTACATTCCATTTCCTTCCATTAACATATAGCACCTACGATAGAGCCTGATCCACAGTAGATATTAAATAAATACTTGTTGAAAGAATAAGAAAACTGGCCAGGCACGGTGGCTCATGCCTGTAATCTCAGCACTTTGGGAGGCTGAGGAGGATCACTTGAGTCCAAAAGTTTGAGACCAGCCTGGGCAACATAGGGAGACCTCATCTCTACCAACAACAAAAAAAATTAACCAAGTGTGATGATGCACACCTGTGGTTCCAGCTACTTGGGAGGCTGAGATGGAAGGATTACTTGAGCCTGGGAGGCTGAGGCTGCAGTGAGCTGTGATCACACCTCTGTACTCCAGCCTGAGCGATAGAGTGAGACCCTGTCTCAAAAAAAAAAAATGGGAAAAAAAAAAGCAACAATTCAGTCACACTTCTAATATGAAACATTTCCTCCAATGTCAGGTAATAATATATAAGAATATCACCCTGGGTGCAATGGCTGATGCCTGGAATCCCAGCACTTTGGGAGGCCGAGGTGGGCGGATCGCGAGGTCAGGAGTTCGAGATCAGTCTGGCCAACATAGTGAAACCCTGTCTCTACTAAAAATATAAAAAAGAAATTAGCCGGGCGTGGTGACAGGTGCCTGTAGTCCTAGCTACTCAGGAGGCTGAGGCAGGAGAATCGCTTGAACCCAGGAGGCGGAGGTTGCAGTGAGCCGAGATCACGCCACTGCACTGCAGCCTGGGTGACACAGTGAGACTCCGATCCACCTCAAAAAAAAAAAAAAAAAGAGGCTGGGCATGGTGGCTCATGCCTGTAATCCCAGCACTTGGGGAGGCCGAGGCGGGCAGATCACCTGAGGTCTGGAGTTCGAGACCAGCCTGACCAACATAGAGAAACCCCGTCTCTACTAAAAATACAAAATTAGCCGGGCGTGGTGGCACATGCCTGTAATCCCAGCTACTAGGGAGGCTGAGGCAGGAGAATCGCTTGAACCTGGGAGGCAGAGATTGCAGTGAGCCGAGATCATGCCATTGCACTCCAGCCTGGGCAACAAGAGTGAAACTCCATCTCAAAAAAAAAAAAAAAAAAAGAATATCATAAGGTAATATCATAAAAGACCTAGGAAATGTATTCAGTTGTTTTATTTCATTTAACCGGTATTTCAGGGGTATCTCTCTATGAGATCATGTACTTTTTAGAGACAAAAGATACAGTCACTGGCTCAAAGAGCTTGTAGTCCCAATAGGGACTCCTAGCAATTTGTGTAAATGAATATTAAAGCCACATGTTAGGTTTGGCAACACAGGGATAGATTAAGATCTTTAGAGTTCCTAAGCTCTGAAAGGATTATGATATCTAACCTTGACCGTCATGTAGTTAAAAATAAAGTTATTAAACTATGAAGTTGCCATAAGGAATCCTAATAAAGCACTTATTTTTCCTATGGTGACTGCTTTGATGTTGTCTTTAAAATATCAAACACCAGTTTTTAAGCACCTTCTTGTTCCGTTTCTTGCTTCCTCTGCTTTGCTGGGGCTCTAATCACATGGTGCAGCCTTACAACAACGGCACAGAAAGGAGTGATGAGTTTGCCTCAGTGGGCACCAAAGACTTCAGTTAGGATGAGATTCTTAACTTAGGTGTTAAAAGAGGAATAAGAGTTTTCCAGATGACAGCCTTTTCCCAGGCGGAGAAACATGAAACAGCTGGGTGAATAGTAGGAGCTTGTACCACATTTGAGTGAGTGGTGTGAGTGAAGCTGCCCAGACAGAAAGAGATCAGGGCCAGGCACGGTGGCTCACACCTGTAATCCCAACACTTTAGGAGGCCAAGTCACGAGGATCACTTGAGTTTGAAACCAGCTTGGGCAACATAGTGAGACCTCGTCTCTACAAAAAAACAATTTAAAAAATGAGGCGAGAGGATGACTTGAGTCCAGGAGGTTGAGGCTCCAATGAGCCATGATTGTGCCACTGGACTCCTGCCTGGGTGACATAGCAAGAGATCGGGTCTTACAGGAAGTCTAGGCCATCAATTGAATAAATACTACTGAATTTTAAACTCTGCAGTGCAAACTAAATTAATGTCTTCAAGTCAAGACCAGAGTTAGCAAACTTTTTCTGTGAAGGGCCAGATAGTAAGTATCTTAGGTTTCATAGGTCACATGATCTCTCTTGCGACTACCCAGCTCTGCTCTGGTAGAAGCAGCCATAGACAACATGTAAACAAATACATGGGAGTGTGTTCCAATAGAACTGTCTACACGAAAATAGGTGGTGGGCTGGATTTGCTCCGGAGGACATACTATTTTTTTTTTTTTGAGACAGAGGCTCGCTCTGTCGCCCAGGCTGGAGTGCAATGGTGCGATCTCAGCTCACTGCAAGCTCTGCCTCCCGGGTTCACGCCATTCTCCTGCCTCAGCCTCCCAAGTAGCTGGGACTACAGGCACCCGCCACCATGCCTGGCTAATTTTCTTGTATTTTTTAGTAGAGACGGTGTTTCACCGTGTTAGTCAGGATGATCTCGATCTCCTGACCTCATGATCCTCCTGCCTCGGCCTCCCAAAGTGCTGGGATTACAGGCATGAGCCACCGTGCCCAGCCAGGACATACTATTATTGGACAACCTCTGGTCTAGGCCATCAGTTTAACAAAGATTGCAGCAAAACAGGTCTACAATGCAAACTAAAGTAATGTCTGCAAATATAAGCTTATCACATAATCTGGGGCAGTCAGAGGGTTGGTTGAAATACTAGGAAAGGTTGGCAAGAGGTGTCCTATGTTGTCCAGGGAAAGAAAAGGAAAGGGTTGAGAGGAAGATGACTTTACAGTATTTTTTTTTTTTTTTTTTTTTTTTTTTTTGGAGACAGAGTCCAGCTCTTTTGCCCAGGCTGGAGTGCAGTGGAAGCAATCCTGGCTCACTGCAAGCTCTGCCTCCCGGGTTCACGCCATTCTCCTGCCTCAGCCTCCTGAGTAGCTGGGACTACAGGCACCCACCACCATGCCCAGCTAAATTTTTTTTTTTTGTATTTTTAGTAGAGACAGGGTTTCACTGTGTTAGCCAGTATGGTCTTGATCTCCTGACCTCATGATCCACCCACCCCAGCCTCCCAAAGTGCTGGGATTACAGGCGCGAGTCACTGCGCCCGGCCCAACTTTACAGTATTTAAGCAGGCCTGAAAGAAACCATGACACAAGGAAACACACTGCTGTCTGAAGCAATTTCCAAGTTGCCTTTCTTATAACCACACTGAGGGCAATCCTTGCTTCTCCTTTCATAAGGAGGTAAAGGCCCTTCTGATTTCCATACTCCTTCATCCCAAGTCACCTGCAAAGCAGTAAATCATGTTGAGCATGCGTTTCTGGATTCCTCTCTTCCTCCACACTTCATCCTCAGTTTCCCCCTGCTTCCTGGCTAACAAATTGAGATTCCTATAATCAGAGAATGAACCTTTCATTTCACTACCAGAGATAAAGTAAAAAATGCATGTTTTTGCTTGAAGTAACAACCTAGTTGAAATGCAGTCAGTCAGCAAGTATAAAGGAAAGGTGACTGGATGCTTTAGTGTGGGAAAGGTTGTTTGCTCGGTGGAAAAGGTTGGAGAGAGTCAGTCACAGGGCAGGAGCAGTGAACTCAAATGACCACAAGCAGCTTATAAATAGCATTAAGTACAAGATGTAAACAAAAAGTAGAGGCCGAGTGCAGTGGCTCACGCCTGTAATCCCAGCACTTCGGGAGGCTGAGGTGGAAGGATTGCTTCGGTCCAGGAGTTTGAGACCAGCCTGGGCAACATGGTACAAAACCTTGTCTCTACAAAAAGAAAAAAAAAGCCAAGCATGGAGGTATGCGCCTGCAATCCCAGCTACCCAGGAGGCTGAGGTGGGAGGATTGATTGAGACTGGGAGATCAAGGCTGTAGTGAGCTGTGATCAAGCCACTGTACTCTAGCCTGGGCAACAGAGCAAGACCCTGTCACAAACAAACAAACAAAAGAAAAAGTAGATGGAAAAGGAACAGCCAGTGCTCACTTACAGGTGATTTTTGTGCTCTGTGAAGGTGGGCCCAGTGTTGCCTGAATTATTTATTTATTTTTATTTACTTATTTTTAGACGGAGTCTTGCTCTGTCGCCCAGGCTGGAGTGCAGTGGCGCGATCTCGGCTCACTGCAACCTCTGCTTCCTGGGTTCACGCCATTCTCCTGCCTCAGCCTTCTGAGTAGCTGGGACTACATGCACCTGCCACCACGCCCCACTAATTTTTTGTATTTTTAGTAGAGACGGGGTTTCACTGTGTTAGCTAGGATGGTCTTGATCTCCTGACCTCGTGATCCGCCCGCCTCAGCCTCCCAAAGTGCTGGGATTACAGGCGTGAGCCACTGAGCCCAGCCCGAACTTTTGATTTTTTTAAAAAAGAAATCAGAAGTTTTCAAATGTTTGTGAAATCATCAGTTTTCTAAATATTGGCAATCAATTCCAAAAGTTTTATAACGTGTTACAAGCCAAATAAAGCACATCTATAGGCTCGATGGTCTATGGGCACCCCTTGTGATCTCTGCTTTAAATCATTTGATGTCTGAATTGGTGGAAGGGACACGGGAGCACACACCAGCCTGGGGAGCCCACTAGAGTACAGAATGCAAACTACAGGGACACATGCCTTTGAGCAGGTAGTAGATAGCCAGGGCCTGTCAAGTTATTAGGTGTCCCAGGCCAGGTAATAACTCCTTGGAGTTGTGAAAAGTATATTTCATTTCCATGCCATCATGTTTGTAACATGCTATTTATAGTGCCCAGTTATCATTTTTCCCAAAGTGCAATTTTTCTCCCATGAAGTACTCATAATCTTAAGTAATGTAGTTGATATGTAACCCAGAAACTCCTACTTGATTAGAAGACAGTTATTGGTAGTATGCCATTGATAGATTTGTTAATTTTTTGTTATATTTATTCAAATGCATATTCATGGTAGAACAATTAGCACTTTCTAGTTTTCATTCTAAATAATGGATATTATAAATAATGGTCTCCAATATTGACTCTTTTGAGTAATTCTATCAGGGACATGTTGAAATTCCAATGACCATTTTTTTTTTTTTTTTTGCCTTAGAGGCATCTTTTGTACATAATGTATTTCTTTTTTTTTTTTTTTCCCTCAAGACAGGGCCTCACTCTGCCACCCAGATTGGAGTGCAGTGACACCATCAGGGCTCACTGCAGCCTTGACCTCCCTGGGCCCGAGTGATCCTCCCACCTCATCCTCCCGAATAGCTGGGACTATAGGTGCACGCCACCACACCTGGCTAATTTTCTTATTTTTTGTAGAGAGAGGGTTTCATTATGTTGCCCAGGCTGGTCTCAAACTCCTGTGCTCAAGCAATTCACCGAGATTACAGGCCTGAGATTACAGGTGCTGAGATTACAGGCCTGAGCCACCGTGCCCAGTCCTCATAATGCATTTCACACACCATAGTGTGGTGAGCACATTCTTTCACTGAAATAACACTATCCATATTCACATATACAACTGGCATTGTTAGAAACATCTGCTATACATATGTCTTTATGAGTTGCATCCTATTAGAGCACCACAGTGTTTCGGTGACCAGTGAGTGCTGGTTTACCATCAGCTTTCATTGTTCCCTTCTGACGGTGTATTTCTCAGTTTTTTCCTGGGCCCAGTGCTGCCCAGAGTAAAGGCTACATTCTTCACTCCTCCTCGCAGCCAAATGGCATAAGACTAGTACCAGCCAATGATATATAACAAGTGATGTGGGTAACTTTTAATGTCCTTAAAGGGAGACAGTGTGCTCCTTATTTTGTGCCACCGCTTAGAACATGATCAAATGGCAAGCCACCTGAGATAGTATGGTCTAGACTAGAAGGCTGTACAACAACAGAGGAAGAGCCTGGCTCCTGGATGACCTCATGGAGCAGAGATTCCATGAGGAATCTCCTCCTGTCTACCTCCATACTGTTACATAAGAGAAAAACCTCTGGCTGGGCGTGGTGGCTCACGCCTGTAATCCCAGCACTTTGGGAGGCTGAGGTGGGTGGATCACAAGGTCAGGAGATTGAAATCATCCTAGCTAACATGGTGAAACCCTGTCTCTACTAAAAATACAAAAAAATTAGCCAGGCGTGGTGACGGGCACTTGTAGTCCCAGCTACTCAGGAGGCTGAGGCAGGAGAATGGCGTCAACCAGGAGGTAGAGCTTGCAGTGAGCCGAGATCACGCCACTGCACTCCAGCCTGGGCGACAGAGCGAGACTCCGTCTCAAAAAAAAAAAAATAGAAAAAGTTCCATCTTGACTAAGTCACTCTTGCTTAGGTGTCTGTTACATCAGCCAGGCTACATCCCAACTAAATCTCTACCCTAACCTTTGCGAGACAAACCATTGCATTGAGATTATATAAAGGGAAGTTGGGGGAGAAAGAGAAATATATGATGATGATACTGGTCAATGTTCCCTATTCTTCAGTTTTTAAAATATTTTTTAAAATTCAAGTTCAAACTAATATATATGCTAAAATAAATATGAAACTAAGCACATAGTTTGTATTAGCATCTAATATCATGATGACTTTATTTTACTTTTTCTACTTTATTTTTTCATTCTCCATAGTTCTTTATTCAGCAAATGCACATTGAACAGCAGAATTCTGTTTTAAACACCATGAAGGAACACTGAAGCACTATGAGGAGCAATGAGGTGGATAAAAAAGTACTTACTTTCTCTAAGGAGATTACAGTGTACTTGTGGAGATAAAATGTTTCTTAAAAGGTGGCATGTGATAAGTGCCATGGAAAGGATCCCAAGGAGGCATGTCGGCTCAGAGGAGACATCCCTGTCACCCGTGGGCCTTCATGACCAAGAGATTGTTTGAGGAGGTTTATTTTTATTGCATTTCAAAAGAATATTACCTCAATAACAACATATGGCCAGGTGCAGTGGCTCACACATATAATCCTAGCACTTTGGGAGGCCAAGGCCAGAGGATTGCTTGAGCCCAGGAGTTCAAGAGCAGCCTGGGCAATACAGTGAGACCGTCTCTACAAGAAATAAAAATAAAAAATAAAAAAAATAGCCAGGTATGGTGGCACATGCCTGTGATACTTGAGGAGCTGAAATGGGAAGATCACTTGAGCCCGGGAGGTTGAGGCTGCAGTGAGCCATGATCATACCATTGCACCCCAGTCTGGGCAACAGAGCGAGACCCTCTCTCAAAACAAACCAACCAACAAACAAACAAACAAAAGCAATGTAGGTATTTTTTGTTACTGGATAGTTTATGTAACTGTTCTTTCAGATTCTGTCTATCCTTTAAGCACATAACAATGATCTTTGCATTTTCATCTTACTCTCAAACATTTTACTGAGATTATGTTATTATAATCGTTAACAAATTTATCTCTGGGTATAAAAATTTCCTCATTATTAATAAGGAAATAAAACAAAGTAATGGTGATGATACAATCTTTTCTTAGATTGCAAATATTCTCATAAGTTATTACAAAAAATATTCCCTATTTATTGGGCAAACAGTGCCCCCTTTTGACCACTGGATCCTATGAAAGAAATCCTAAGACAATAGACTCTTCATCTCTGCTAAAAATTGAATTATATAGAGAGTTATATAGATGTATATTATTAGATCTAATTATATATAACATTTATGTTATATCACTATAATACCTAATTATATATTTTATATATGGTATATAATTTCTAAAGAAACTATCCTATATAACTTTAAGGATATATTGTGTGCTTTTTATTATTTATTTTTTAGACTCATGTTGTATTTTGTTAAGTGATTAGGTCCACTAGAGTGTTTAATGGCAGTTTTGTAAGATCCACATTTTAGTTTTATGAATCTTCTTTATCCTGTCTGATTCAGGTTGAATACGAAGGCTTAAAGCATGAGATTAAGCGATTTGAGGAGGAGACGGTACTGCTGAACAGCCAGCTGGAAGATGCCATCCGATTGAAAGAGATTGCTGAGCACCAACTGGAAGAAGCCCTCGAGACTTTAAAAAATGAAAGAGAGCAAAAGAACAACCTGCGGAAGGAGCTCTCCCAGTATATCAGCCTCAATGATAACCATATCAGCATCTCAGTAGATGGACTCAAATTTGCCGAGGATGGGAGTGAACCAAACAATGATGACAAAATGAACGGTCATATCCATGGGCCTCTTGTGAAACTGAATGGAGACTATCGGACTCCCACCTTAAGGAAAGGAGAGTCTCTGAACCCTGTCTCTGACTTATTCAGTGAGCTGAACATTTCAGAAATACAGAAGTTGAAGCAGCAGCTTATGCAGGTAAGAACTTTGTTTAGGGCCGCTAGAGTGAATTTCTTGTAGATTGCAGGTAGCATGTTGTGGGACTTCTGATTCTCGCATTTCACTTCTAGATTTCTTTTCTTTTTTCTTTTCTTCTCTTTTCTTTTCTGTTCTTTTCGAGACAGAGTCTTGCTCCATCGCCCAGGCTGGAGTACAGTGGTGCAATTTCGGCTCACTGCAACCTCCGCCTCCCAGGTTCAAGTGATTCTCCTGCCTCAGCCTCCCGAGTAGCTGGGACTACAGGTGCCCGCCACCATGCCCGGCTAATTTTTTTGTATTTTTAGTAGAGACGGGGTTTCACCGTATTAGCCAGGATGGTCTCGATCTCCTGACTTCGTGATCCGCCCGCCTTGGCCTCCAAAGTGCTGGGATTACAGGCGTGAGCCACCGCGCCCAGCCCCAGCTTTCTTTTCTAAATATTGCTTCTTCAGCTAGAAACTTCGAAAGTGCAGTATTTTAGAAAGACATGACAGAAGGAGCGTTAAAGAGAAATGCAGTCTCTCATTTGCATCACTTCAAGAAATGAACTTCTGAGAGCCACAAATTGAGCTCCAATGAAGTCTGAGAAAAGACAGAAAAAAGTTCCTTGGGCCGGGCGCGGTGGCTTACACCTGTAATCCCAGCACTTTGAGAGGCTGAAGCGGGCGGATCACCTGAAGTCAGGAGTTCAAGACCAACCTGGCCAACATGGTAAAACCCCATCGCTACTAAAAATACAAAAAATTAGCTGGACGTGGTGGTGGGTGCCTGTAATCCCACCTAACTCAGGAGGCTGAGTCAGGAGAATCACTTGAACCCGGGAGGTGGAGATTGCAGTGAGCCGAGATCGCCATTGCACTCCAGCCTGGGCAACAAGAGTGAAACGTCATCTCAAAAAAAAAAGAAAAAGAAAAAAGAAAAGACAGAGCCTTAATGCATTTCTGATTAACAAAAGAATTCAAAAGCTTTATATACAAGTAAAATGATGGAAACCATGCAGTTTTTCATCACAAGCAACTGTGTTTATAGCTTCCAGATTTATGGTTACATTTCACAGGAATACTTGAAGCCTTAAAAGACGTAAAGGACTTCCTATGTACAAATTATCCAGGATACCGTATGATTAAAAATACAGAACAGGTATAATCTAAGACCAAAGGATTCTTATTGCAACATGAGTTAAACCTTAAATTTTTAGCGTCTTCAAAACAAATGTCTTGTGAAGATCCCAGCCTTGAAAAAATCGCTTTCTAGTTTAGAGTCTTGCCTTCCTGCCACATGTAATGGAAATGTTGTTTAAGAAACAGCAGCATTACCATCACCTGGGGGCTTATTTATACAAATTGTGGAGCTCCGTGTAGATCTACTGAACTAGAAACTGAACTAGAAATCTGGTATAACAAGCTTGTTAAGTGATTAAATTTGAGGCTTAATCTTCAATCTCAATCTTATCTCTCCAAGGTTCTTCATGTATAGCTGATAATTAGAGGCTGTTAAGCCTCTGGCAGTCATCTGCCTCCACGGAAATGATGACTGGAAAAGTGAAATTAGCAGAAATAAGTAAGAGAACAGAGAGCCAATGATGTTGATTTGTTAACAGGTTTATTTTCTATGTCTTTTTGCTCAGTTTACACTAATATGACTAGATTGATTGAAACAGAAAACATATTTCCTTGTGAAAAAGTTTTACATGACAGATGTATTCATAAGAATTTGTGCCCCCCAGATTGAATACCATTAAATAGAAGTTTTATGAGTTTTGTTTAACTCTCATATTGGTGGCTTTGAGATAAAAAGTTAGTGGGTTCAGGCTTTTTGTTTATTCCTTTTGTTTTGGTGGCAGTGCAGAAGATAATAGGAAAAGAGGCTTCTATGCATGAAACAGCACAACAATTTTCAAGCAGGTCATCTATTGGCTGAAAGCTCAGAGCTGTGCTCAGATTTAATTCTAAATGTGATCTGAATTGGGTAATACAAAAGTCTAAAAAAGATGAAAAGTTCAATTAAAAGAATGGTGGAAAACAAGTAAGTACTCAGCTGGAGACTGGCTCTCCTGAGTTCTCAATAGACTGTCGTTTTCGTTTGGTTTAGGCGGTTCCTCATTGCCAGAGAATGTTTTCTTCCTTGAGAAGGTTTAGCGTCTCTGATCCCAACTCATGAGATGCTGGTTACATTTCCTCAGTTGAAGTGATGACCAGAAACTCCCCATGTATTTCAAATGCTCTGAGAGTCAGCCACTAGTTGACAGTCATTCTTAGAGGACAGCACTTTACTTTCCCATGGAATGGGATACATAATACCTTCCTCGTTAGAGTGTCATGAAGGTTTATGAGTTATATGCAGAGTGCTGAGAACAGGGACTAGTGCACAGTAAATGCTCATTAATTATGAACTGTTATCATTATTTCAACTCCATTGGTCCTTTAATTTATTAGGCACTCACTTTATAATAATTTAGATAATTATTATTAACTATTATTTTTGGGCTATTAGCTCAAGGCCAATCACCCCAAAAGGGACTGATGTGGATACTGGTAGGAATATAGAAAAATAACAGTTAAGTCTCATGGTGCAAGAAGGTCTGAAAAAGGATATTCATTTAGCAAAATGTTAGGGTGAGAAAAACTTTGCTGGATAAACCCTCCATCAGTCTATTGAGAAAGCTGTGTCCCTTCAAATCTTTCTTCAACCCTTAACTGATGTTGACAGTTTGCAAAGATGTAGAGGGGCGCAGGTAGGTCCTTATATCCCAAAGTTTGCTCCAGATTTAGTTGTGAAAACCAGGTTCAACACAGGAAGGGCTTTGCAGCTTCCAATCTCATACTAACAACACTAACTGTAAATTTTTTTTTAGGTAGAATATCCATTTATCTTCTTGTAATCAGCGTTTTTAAAAAGCATGTCAGCTTTTCCTAAGAATATATTTTATTCAAACAAGTATATTCATGAGAAGTATACCTTCTCATGAACTATTTTTTTGCAATACAGTTTTTTCCTTAGCCACACATCTTTTTGGGTTAAATTTATGTAAATAAACACATTACAAAAACATTACAGGATACATTGCCTAGAATTTATTGTAATTGGCTTTGATGTTAATAAGGATTAAAAATAATATGGCAAGTCTGATCAATGAGAGTACTGTGCACCTGAAGCATATATGTGTCAGTACCATTGTTCTGGAAATTATGAAGAGGAACCAATCAAATGTACTTTAAGTATAGCTATCTGGAATGCTTGGGACCAGGTGTGTTTTAAAAATTCAGGTTTCAGATTGTAGAAAGGTAATATGCAGCATATACCACATAGATTGTGATATCTCCACTGGGATCAGATGCAGCATCCGGTGATCAAATAATATTAACATTTCTGCAGTGAAACATGAGTATTCACACTAAGAATAAGATGAGGACCATTAAAGGCCTTACACCAGTCAGGTGCAGTTTGGCTGCCCTGGGAGTTTAGGACTGTCTGAATACTGCCAAGTGAGTTTTATCATAATCAAGTGAATTATGATAAAACTTGATTTCGAGCTTTTTGGATTTTGCAGTTGCAGGCGTTGTAGGAATAGCACTGTCCTGTTGGGCGGCTGTCAGTTTTGCGCACCTCAGCTTACAGTGTCAACATACTTGGAACGTGACAGTTTGTATTTTCATTTTTTTTTATTATTATTATACTTTAAGTTCTAGGGTACATGTGCACAATGTGCAGGTTTGTTACATATGTATACATGTGCCATGTTGGTGTGCTGCACCCATTAACTCGTTATTTACATTAGGTATATCTCCTAATGCTATCCCTGACAGTTTGTATTTTCATAGTTCCTTTATCTCTTAGGATTTCTCCTGGCCTGGATCCAAAACACTGCATGGGAGAGGCCGCCTTGTGCCTCTAATCCAACAGCTGTGCTTAGCTAACAGCTCATGACAGTGTAGAGGGGCACAGGCAAGGCTGTAACTCCCTGAACCAGGTGATATGCAGCAGTTCAGGTTTTCTTCCTTCTGATCAAGTACCCCTTTGATGGAGTAAGTTCAAGAGATCTATAGTACAACACAGTGACTGTAGTTAATAACAATGTATTGTATTGAAAATAAAAGAGTAGATTTTAAGTGTTCTCAGTGTTGTAGAACCCCTAAATGTAGGTCCACGTGTTGGATGGGCAGTAAGCCAAATACTGACACATCAGTGCTTAGCAGCAGAGAAAGGTGTATTCATTTTTCCAAAAATGACATTGTGGGAGAGGCAATCGGTCAAATCCTACCTGCCTTTGAACGTAACTGGGGGTTTTTGTGAGTAAGGCAGCTGTGCAGGAGAATGAAATCCCCCAATGATCAAAGTTGTTTGTGTCCCGCAGCTCAATCAGACTTCTGGATGCCATCAAGGAGGTCTGCATGACCTAAGGATCATTGTTCTTTGAAAGGAAAACAAGTTCATTAATCTTACTGGCTGCCAGGGTTAGGATGCAAAGTTAATCAATTATTAGTGACTACCGTCTACCGAATGACTACGTGCAAGCAGTCATGCATGGAGGAAGAAAAGGACAAAGAGAAAGGAAAATAAGTAAAAAACAAACGTTTAATGATTTTGATAATATAGGCTCAGTTACATCACCACAAACATGATAAGTATGTCAGGTCATGCATGTCATAATTAGCTCAATTTCCACTTTGCCTACATATTTCAAAACATCATGTTGTACATGATAAATATGTACAATTTTTGTCAGTTAAAATAAATACATTAATTTGTTTTTAAAGAACTCCTTTGAAAACAGTATACCTAGTCCATATACCCTTTCGGCCTTTTCTTCTCCTACAAGGCTCAATGTATGCCCATGATTTATGTTTTCCCATCCATAGGTATTTATTTAACCTGGTTCCAGGAAAAAAAAATGCCTCTGTCGACGAAGCAAGTCAAACTCTGTAAAATATTTTAAGAGATTTATTCTGAGCCAAGTATGAGTGACCATGGCCTGTGACATAGCCCTCAGGAGGTCCTGAGAACATATGCCCAAGGTGGTCGGGGTACAGCTTGGTTTTATATATTTTAGGGAGGCATGAGACATCAATTAAATACATTTAAGAAATACATTGGGCCGGGTGCGGTGGCTCACGCCTGTAATCCCAACACTTTGGGAGGCCAAGGTGGGTGGATCATGAAGTCAAGAGATTGAGACCATCCTGGCCAACATGGTGAAACCCCATCTCTACTAAAAAAAATACAAAAATTAGCTGGGCATGGTGATGCATGCCTGTAGTCCCAGCTACTTGGGAGGCTGAGGCAGGAGAATCACTTGAACCCAGGAGGCGGAGGTTGCAGTGAGCCGAGATCGCGCCACTGCACTCCAGCCTGCGACAGATCAAGACTCTGTCTCAAAAAAAAGAAAAAAGAAAGAAATACATTGGTTTGGTTCAGAAAGGTGGGACAGCTCACAGCGGGGGCTTCCAGGCTATAGGTAAATTTAAACATTTTCTGGTTGACAATTGGTTGAGTTTGTCTGAAGGCGTGGGATCAATGGAAAGAAAATGTTCAGGTTAAGATAAAGGATTGTGGAGACCAAGTTTTATTGTGCAGAGGAAGCTCTCAGATAGCTGACTTCAGAGAGAGCAGGTTGTAAAATGTTTCTTATTGCACTTAGAAGGGTGCCTGGCTCTTAGCTGATTATCTCCTGGATCTGGAAAGGAAGGAAGGAAAACAAAGCGGGGAAAGGGGATTCTCTACAGAATGTGGATTTTTCCCACAAGAGACTTTGCAGGGCAATTTCAAGGTATGGCAAGGAAATATATTTTGGTTTTCTTTCTTTGCCAGTATCAGATTGGAAAGTAACTCTTGATATACAGGGTTAAATAAAACGCATCCGATGAGAATTTATGGTTTGTAGGGCATGAACTCCCCAGACCCCTTAGATAGGAATTTGGGCAAGATAAAAAAAAATCAGATCTTAGTCCTCACCTCTGCCTTAATTATCAGGAATGTTGAGTGAATTGTTTTGCTTCTCTGAGGCTCATTCAAAAGGGGAAGGTAATAAATTAGCCCCACCATTTGTCTCTGCCATGCCTTTGTTGGAACTATGGAAAAAACAAAACAAAACAAAAATCAGGTCTCCTTCTTGAAGCCATCATACTGCCATCTGCTGGGAAATGGTAATAACAAGTATAAACATTTATAGCTACTACAATTTAAATAGCACCTCCTGGAGTTGTTTGCATACAACCTGCAGACTTCTGCATTGAAGCCCTGGTGATAATGCCATGCCTCCTCTGTAGAATTGTGAGGACCAAATGGGATGGTAAATATGAAACTGTGTATAAGTCATAACATTTTATAAATTATTATTGTCCTGGAAACTGCCATCAGGTTTCGAGATGCCAAGAAGGTCCCCACTATCCCTGTGTATAAACGGTCAATACATAAATTATAAAAAGTATGGGAAAGGCAAGTGGTGGTAAGCCTGTATCTAAATTAGGGAGAGCTTTTTCTCAGAATAAATTAGAGTGAATATTTTACTGAATTGTATGCCTTCCTAGGTTATGGAATAAAATACAGGAATATTTTAAACTTAGCTAATCATGCTAAGTTTCACATAATACAGAAACATATACACAAAAAATACAGTAAGAAAACATTTTGATTCACCTCAGTCTCTATAAACTTGACAATAGTCCTTGATAGTGAATAGTTCAATGAGTGTCATCCTTTATTCATGAGAGAAGTTTTTCAGAGTATTATCGGATAAATTATTTTGGTTTTTTGGTGCCCTCAAGACCTCATTATTTCAAATAGGTTGTAATTGACATTTTCCAGTGGCAGTCAAATACCTTAATTAGTTTTATTAGAATGAAAATAAGTAGATTCTGTCTGGAAATACTAACTAAATTACTTAATCAATTTAAAGGTGTCCTGTATGCTTGTGCTGAAATTTCTGTCTTTGATAAATAGCCTCTAACTTTACATCTGCATAGAGTCAAACTAAGCAGGGGAAAACTCTTTGGATTTTTTTTTTCAGTATTATGCTGGGTATATAATTTCACATGTAGTATGAGAAAACAGTAATGTTTCTGTAAAACTAAAATTAATATATTCTGTTGCATCCTCATGGATGTGGAAGAAATATATTCATATTATGTTTTGATCCACTCTATTAAAGGCAATTTTAGTTTTTTCTATAATGATTGATGTTAAGTGGTGATGGTAATTTGCTATATGTCCCATAAGAGTTCAAAGCAATTTTTATATATTTGCTTAATTGGTTGCTGCTTATAACAACTGTATGGGGTAGAGAGTATTATTATCTTCATATTATAGATAGGGAAACTGAGGCATGACTGTGTTATGTCATTAGTTCAAGGTCAAAAATCTAGTAAGTGGAGTTGCTACACAGAGACAGTCGAACAAGTGAAATATTATCTCTGCTTAAACACTCACAGAATATTTATAGGATGACATTAATGAAAACAAGATTGGTTAGTTCTTGGGTTCTGAAACTTAAAGTGACAAGTATAATTATTTCCTAGTACAAAGCTGACAAATGGCTAAACTATTACAGATTTTATAGTTAGAGATTACAAACTAGCTGGGCGCAGTGGCTCATACCTGTAATCCCAGCACTTCGGAAGGCTGAGGCAGGAGGATAGCTTGAGGCCAGGGGTTTGAGACCAGCCTGGGCCACATGGCAAAACCCCATCTCTACCAAAAATACCCAGAAAAAATTAGCTGGGCACGGTGGTGCGTGCCTATAGTCCCAGCTACTAGGGTCGCTGAGGTGGGAGGATTGCTTGAGTCTGGGAGGAGGTCAAGGCTGCAGTGAGCCATGACCATGCCACTGCACTCCAGCCTAGGTGAAAGAGCGTGACCCTATCAATAAATAAATAAAATAAAAATAAATGGAATCATACAATGTGTGGTCTTTTGTGACTGGCTTCTTTCACTTAGCATAACATTTTAAAGGTTCGTCCATGCTGTAATATATCAGCACTTCATTTTCATTTCTTTCTGTTGTCAAATAATACTCCATGGTATGCAGATACCACATTTCATGTAACCATTCATCAGTTGATGGACACTTTAGTTGTTTGTTTTTTTAGCTATTATCAATAAAGCTGCTATGAACATTTGTGTACAAGTTTTCGTGTGCACGTATGTTTTAATTCCCGGGGGAGTTAATACTAGAGGTGGAAATGCTGGGTCATATGGTAATTCTATGTTTTACCTTCTGAGGAACTGCTAGTTTTGAAAACAAATCGAGTGTACCATTTTTTTATCCCCACCAGCAGTGTATGAGTGTTCCGATTTCTCCACATTCTCACTAACACTTGTTATTATGTGCCTTTTCAATCATAGCCATCCTGGTGGATGTGAAGTGGTATTTCATTATCATCTTGACTTGTATTTCCTTGATGGCTATGATGTTGAGCATCTTTTCATGTGCTTATCTGCTCTTTTATATCTTCTGTGGAAAAATGTGTATTCAGATTATTTTTTGACTGGGTTGTCTTTTTATTTCTGAGTTGAAAGTGTTCTTTACTGATTTGGATACAAATCCCTCATCATAAAAGTGATTTATGATTTGCAAATATTTTCTCCCATTCTGTGGGTTGTCTTTTCACTTTCTTGATGGTGTCCTTTGATGTACAAAGGAGTTTTTTTTTTTTTAAAAGAGATGGGTCTCACTATGTTGCCCAGGCTGGAGTGCAGTGGCTATTCATAGGCACAATCATAGCACACTGCAGCCTCAAACCCCTGGACTCTCCTGGCCTCAAGCAATCCTCCCACCTTAGCCTTCTGAGTAGCTGGGACTACAGGCGCATGCCACTATGCCCAGCTAAAAAAACTTTTTAATCTTGATGTGTCTAGTGTATTTTTTTCTTTTGTTGTTTGTGCTTTTGGTGTCATACAAAACTGTTGTCTAATCTAAGGTCATGAACATTCATGGCTAGGTTTTCCTCTAAGAGTTTTATAGTTTATCTCTTACATTTAGGTCTTTGATCCATTTTGACTTAATTTTTGAATATGATATGAGGAAGAGATCAACATTACTATTTTACACGTGGGCATCCAGTTGTCCCAGCACCATTTGTTGAAAAGACTATTCTATTCTTTCTTTCCCCTATTGAATTATCTTTGTACCCTTGTCCAAAATCAACTGGTCATAGATGTATATATGGGCTTATTTCTAGACTTTCAATTCTATTCCATTAATTTATATGTCTGTTTTTATGCCAATACTATAGTATCTTGATTATAGTTTTTTTGTAGCAATTTTTGAAATAGGAAAGTTTGCTAGTTCTTTTTCAAGAAGTTTCTTCAGGACTGTTTTGGCTATTCTAGGTCCTTTGCCTTTCCATATAAATTTTATGACCATCTTGTCAATTTCTGCAAAGAATCCAGCTGAAATTCTGTTGGAGTTTGCATTGAATATGTAAATAAATTTGGGTAGTATTGCCATCTTAACATTCAGTTTTTTGACCCAGAAACAGGGGCTGTTTATCCCTTTATTTAGGTCTTCTTTCATTTCTTTCAACAATGCTTTATAATTTTCAGAGTACAGATGGTCCTTGACTTGTGAATGTTCGTCTAGACTTTTTTATTTAACAATGGTGTTAAAGCAATACCATTTAGTGGAAACCATACTTTGAGTACCTATACAACTGTTCTGTTTTTCATTTTCAGTACAGTAGTCAATAAATTACATGAGATAGTAAACATTTTATTATAAAATAGGCTTTGAGTGGGGCTGGGCGTGGTGGCTCATGCTTGTAATCCTAGCACTTTGGGAGGCTGAGATGCGTGGATCATCTGAGGTCGGGAGTTCGAGACCAGCCTGACCAACAAGGTGAAACCCCGTCTCTACTAAAAATACAAAAATTAGCCGAGTGTGGTGGTGTGCGCCTGTAATCCCAGCTACTTGGGAGGCTGAGGCAGGAGAATTGCTTGAACCCAGGAGCCAGAGGTTGCAGTGATCTGAGATTGTGCCACTGCACTCCAGCCTGGGCAACAGAGTGAGACCCTGTCTCAAAAAAAAAAAAAAAAAAGGCTTTGAGTTAGATGATTTTTGCCCAACTGTAGGCTAACGTAAGTGTTCTGGACACTTTTAAGGTAGGCTAGACTAAGCTAGAATGTTTGGTAGGTTATGTGTATTAAATGCATTTTGGACATGATATTTTCTTTTTTTTTTTCTTTTTTGTTTGAGATGGAGTCTCACTCTGTTGCTCAGGCTGGAGTACAGTGGCATGATCTTGGCTCCCTGCAACCTCCACCTCCTGGGTTCAAGCGATTCTTGTGCCTCAGCCTCCTGAGTAGCTGGGAATACAGGCACGTGCCACCACGCCCAGCTAATTTTTTTTTATTTTTTATTTTTTAGTAGAGACGGAGTTTCACCATGTCGGCCTGGCTGGTCTCAAACTCCTGACCTCAGGCAATCCACCCGCCTCAGCCTCCCAAAGTGCTGGAATTACAGGCATGAGCCAATGCGCCTGGCCATACTTAGGATATTTTCAATTTACAATGGTTTTATTGAGATGTAACCCCATCACAAGTTGAGGAGCATCTGTATACATTTTGCACTTCTTTTTTTTTTCTTTTTTTAAAATTTTATTATTATACTTTAAGTTTTAGGGTACATATGCACAACGTGCAGGTTTGTTACATATGTATACATGTGCCATGTTGGTGTGCTGCACCCATTAACTTGTCATTTAGCATTAGGTA
Source organism: Homo sapiens (assembly GCF_000001405.40). Taxonomy (NCBI): domain Eukaryota; kingdom Metazoa; phylum Chordata; class Mammalia; order Primates; family Hominidae; genus Homo; species Homo sapiens. The sequence goes on from NC_000012.12 coordinate 32,316,830, forward strand.
TATCTCCTAATGCTATCCCTCCCCACTCTCCCCACCCCACAACAGTCCCCGGTGTGTGATGTTCCCCTTCCTGTGTCCATGTGTTCTCATTGTTCAATTCCCACCTATGAGTGAGAACATGCTGTGTTTGGTTTTTTTGTCCTTGCGGTAGTTTGCTGAGAATGATGGTTTCCAGTTTCATCCATGTTCCTACAAAGGACATGAACTCATCATTTTTTATGGCTGCATAGTATTCCATGGTGTATATGTGCCACATTTTCTTAATCCAGTCTATCATTGTTGGACATTTGGGTTGGTTCCAAGTCTTTGCTGTTGTGAATAGTGCCACAATAAACATACGTGTGCATGTGTCTTTATAGCAGCATGATTTATAATCCTTTGGGTATATACCCAGTAATGGGATGGCTGGGTCAAATGGTATTTCTAGTTCTAGATCCCTGAGGAATCGTCACACTGACTTCCACAATGGTCGAACTAGTTTACAGTCCTACCAACAGTGTAAAAGTGTTCCTATTTCTCCACATCCTCTCCAGCACCTGTTGTTTCCTGACTTTTTAATGATCGCCATTCTAACTGGTGTGAGATGGTATCTCATTGCGGTTTTGATTTGCATTTCTCTGACGGCCAGTGATGATGAGCATTTTTTCATGTGTTTTTTGGCTGCATAAATGTCTTCTTTTGAGAAGTGTCTGTTCATATCCTGCACCCACTTTTTGATGGGGTTGTTTGTTTTTTTCTTGTAAATTTGTATGAGTTCATTGTAGATCCTGGATATTAGATCCAGATTTGTCAGATGAGTAGGTTGCAAAAATTTTCTCTCATTCTGTAGGTTGCCTGTTCACTCTGATAGTAGTTTCTTTTGCTGTGCAGAAGCGCTTTAGTTTAATTAGATCCCATTTGTCAATTTTGGCTTTTGTTGCCATTGCTTTTGGTGTTTTAGACATGAAGTCCTTGCCCGTGCCTATGTCCTGAATGGTATTGCCTAGGTTTTCTTCTAGGGTTTTTATGGTTTTAGGTCTAACATTTAAGTCTTTAATCCATCTTGAATTAATTTTTGTATAAGGTGTAAGGAAGGGATCCAGTTTCAGCTTTCTACTTATGGCTAGCCAGTTTTCCCAGCACCATTTATTAAATAGGGAATCCTTTCCCCATTGCTTGTTTTTCTCAGGTTTGTCAAAGATCAGATAGTTGTAGATATGCAGCATTATTTCTGAGGGCTCTGTTCTGTTCCATTGGTCTATATCTCTGTTTTGGTACCAGTACCATGCTGTTTTGGTTACTGTAGCCTTGTAGTATAGTTTGAAGTCAGGTAGCCTGATGCCTCCAGCTTTGTTCTTTTGGCTTAGGATTGACTTGGCGATGCAGGCTCTTTTTTGGTTCCATATGAACTTTAAAGTAGTTTTTTCCAATTCTGTGAAGAAAGTCATTGGTAGCTTGATGGGGATGGCATTGAATCTATAAATTACCTTGGGCAGTATGGCCATTTTAACGATATTGATTCTTCCTACCCATGAGCATGGAATGTTCTTCCATTTGTTTGTATCCTCTTTTATTTCATTGAGCAGTGGTTTGTAGTTCTCCTTGAAGAGGTCCTTCACATCCCTTGTAAGTTGGATTCCTAGGTATTTTATTCTCTTTGAAGCAATTGTGAATGGGAGTTCACTCATGCTTTGGCTCTCTGTTTGTCTGTTATTGGTGTATAAGAATGGTTGCATTTTGCACTTCTTTTGTTAAATTTATTCCTGCCGGGTGCGGTGGCTCACACCTGTAATCCCAGCACTTTGGGAGGCCTAGGCAGGTGGATCACCTGAGGTCGGGAGTTTGAGACCAGCCTGACCAACATGGAGAAACCCCATCTCTGCTAAAAATACAAAATTAACCAGGCGTAGTGGCGCATGCCTGTAATCCCAGCTACTTGGGAGGCTAAGGCAGGAGAATCGCTTGATCCTGGGAGGCGGAGGTTGCAGTGAGCTGAGATCGTGCCATCGCACTCCAGCCTGGGCAACAAGAGTGAAACTCCATCTGAAAAAAAAATTTTATTCTGAAGTATATTATTTTTTGATAGTGCTATAAAAGCAATTGTTTTATTAATTTTATTTTTCATTTTTCACTGCTAGTATATAGAAATACAACTGATGTTCGTATATTGATTTTGTATCCTGCCACCTTGCTATACTTGCTTATTAGTCCTAATAGTTGTTTCTTAGTGAATTCCTTAAGAATTTCTATTAATATTTACAAGAGCACGTCATCTGCAAATAAAGATCATTTTACTTTTTTCTTTCCAATCTCAATACCTTTTATTTGATTTTCTCACCTAAGTTCCCTGGCTAGAACTCTAGTACAATGATGAATAAAAATGGCAAGAGCAGCCATCCTTGTTTTGCTCTGGGTGTTTCATAGATGCCCTTTATCCGGGTGAGGGAGTTTTCTTCTATGACTAGATTGTTGACTTTTTTTTATTATCACAAATGGATATTAAATTTTGTCAAATGCTTTTTCTTCATATATTGAGATGATCATGTGGTTTTTGTCATGTATTCTATTAGTATGGTATATTATATTTATTGACTCTTGAATGTTAAATCAACATTGTGTTTCTATGATTGCATTTGGTTATGTTGCTGGATTCAGTTTGCTAGTATTTTGTTGAGGATTTTGTGTCTATATTCATAAGAGGTCTTGGTCTTTAGTTTTCTTTTCTTATAATATGTTTCTCTGGGAGGGAGAGGTCGTTTGTTTTTTAGTTTCGTTTTTTTTTCTTTTTTGAAACAGTCTTGGTCTGTTGCCCAGGCTGGAGTGCAGTGACGTGATCTTGGATCGCTGCAACCTCTGCTTCCCAGGTTCAAGCAATTCTCCTGCCTCAGCCTTCCAAGTAGCTAGGATTACAGGTGCCCACTACCACATCAGGCTAATTTTTGTATTTTTAGTAGAGATGGGGTTTCACCATGTTCAGGCTGGTCTCAAACTCCTGACCTCAAGTGATCCTCCCGCCTTGGTCTCCCAAAGTGCTGTTTCTCTAGTTTTGGTATCAGAGTAATACTGGTCTCATAAGAGTTGGGAAGGGCCCCTCTCCCTCCATCTTTTTTAGTCTTCGTCCAGTTGACTGACTTTTGTGTGTTAGTGTGCATGAATTTTCTTTTCACCACACACTCTAAAGTAGACACTTTTAACAACTGATGAATTCCCTCATATAGAGTTTCTTTGTTCTATCTTGATCTTTTTTCATAGAATTATCTTTTGTTGGGGCACAGATATGCATTATCAGAGTTGTTTCTCTTCAAGCAGAGAAGAACAAATTATTTAGGAGTTCCGTTTGTGCATATCGATGCTATGTATACTGTTAGAAGAATCACATGATCATTTAAGTGTCAAACTGAGAGTCAAAAGACTTGGCTGGGCAGGGTGGCTCTCACCTGTAATCCCAGCACTTGGGAAAGCCAAGTTGGCAGGATTGCATGAGGCCAGGAACTCAAGATCAGTCTGGGCTGCATAGAGAGACCCCATCTCTATTTATAAAAAGGTTTTGAGGCTGGGCACGGTGGCTCACACCTGTAATCCCAACACTTTGGGAGGCCGAGGCGGGCAGATCACATGAGGTCAGGAGTTCAAGACCAGCCTGGCCAACATGGTGAAACCCCATCTCTACTAAAAATACAAAAATTAGCCAGGTGTGTTGGCACGTGCCTGTAATCCCAGCTACTCGGGAGGCTGAGGCAGGAGAATTGCTTGAACTGGGAGGCAGAGGTTGCAGTGATCCAAGATCACGCCACTGCACTCCAGTCTGGGCGACAGAGTGAGACTCCGTCTCAAAATAAGTAAATAAATAAAAAATAAAAGGTAAACACTCAGTGAAATAAAAAAAAATTCTATGGGATATAGGAACAACAATGACAATAGTAAACATATGTTGTATACTTACACTAGACTAAACAGTTCACAAATACTGAAGTCAGGTTTTCTGGCAAAACAACCAGCTCTGCTGTGAAAAAATAAAATCTCCAGTTCCAGACAGAAACTGAAGATTGTAGGAAGAGAAATAAGACAACTATTCTCAGTCACTACAGAAGATCATAATAAACTCCTCAACTCTCTGTTGGATAAATTCTTTACAAATGGAAATTAAAATAGTAACACTTAAAATGTATAGTAATTTTAAGCTTTAAAGTGCTTTGCATGTTATTCATTCAGAGCACTAAATCTAAAACAATTTAGGCCAGGTACAGTGGCTCACGCCTGTAATCCCAGCACTTTGGGAGGCCAAGGTGGGCAGATCACCTGAGGTCAGGGGTTTGAGATGAGCCTGGTCAACATGGTGAAACCCCGTCTCTGTGAAAAATACAAAAATTAGCCGGGCGTGGTGGCACGTCCCTGTAAGCCCAACTACTCGGGAGGCTGAGGCAGGAGAATCGCTTGAACCCCGGAGGCAGAGGTTGCAGTGATCCAAGATCACACCACTGCACTCCAGCCTGGGCGACAGAGTGAGACTCTGTCTCAAAATAAATAAAAAATAAAAGGTAAACACTCAGTGAAGTAAAAAATAATTTCTATGGGATATAGGAACAACAATAATCATAGTAAACATATGTTGTATACTTACACTAAACAGTTTACAAATACTGAAGTCAGGTTTTCTGGCAGAACAACCAGCTCTTCTGTGAAAAAATAAAATCTCCAGTTCCAGACAGAAAATGAAGATTGTAGGAAGAGAAATAAGACAACTATTCTCAGTCACTACAGAAGATTATAATAAACCCCTCAACTCTCTCTTGGATAAATTCTTTACAAATGGAAATTAAAATAGTAACACTTCAAATGTATAGTAATTTTAAGCTTTAAAGTGCTTTGCATTTTATTCATTCAGAGCACTAAATCTAAAACAATTTAGGCCAGGCCCGGTGGCTCACGCCTGTAATCCCAGCACTTTTGGAGGCCAAGGCGGGTGGATCACCTGAGGTCAAGAGTTCGAGACCAGCCTGACCAACATGGTGAAACTCTGTCTCTGCTAAAAATACAAAAATTAGCCAGGCGCAGTGGCAGACGCCTGTAATCCCAGCTACTTGGGAGACTGAGGCAGGAGAATCACTTGAACCTAGAAGGCGGAGGTTGCAGTGAGCCGAGATCACACCATTGCACTCCAGCCTGGGCGACAGAGTGAGACTCCGTCTCAAAAAAATAAAATAAATAAATAAATAAATAAAACAGTTTAAGCATCTGCTCTTTGAAATCCAAATACCATTTAAGGTACTCTAAGCCTTAATAGCTGAGTGAAAATACAGTGTTGGAGTTTTACAAAATTACCTGTATTTTAGTAATTTTTTTGTCAGGCCAAACTTAATTATCTGGGAGAAATATATATAGATAGATAGATATGATATATTTATATGTGTATAATATATATTTACATATGTGTGTAATATATATGTAATTTGGATACAATTTCCTATTCAATTGATTTCAGCAGAAACGTATTAAATATAGAAAGTAGTACTGTATAGCAGCAGTCCCCAACTTTTTTTGGACCAGTGATCTGTTTCATGGAAGACAATTTTTCCACAGATAGGGTGCGGGTGGTCTGGGGCCATTAGATCTCATAAGGAGCTTGCAACCTAGATCCCTCGCATGCGCAGTTCACAATAGGGTTCGCACTCCTATGGCAATCTGATGCTGCCACTCATCTGACAGGAGGCAGAGCTCAGGCGGTAATGTTTGCTCGCCTGCCACTCACCTCCTGCTGTGTGGCCTGGTTCCTAATAGGCCACAAACTGGTACTGGTCAGAGGCCTGGGAGTTGGGGACTCCTGTTGTGTAGGGAGGAAACACACATGCAAGAGACAGTGTTCTATTTGATGTTTTCTGGAGATGCTATCGTGAAGACACTGTAGACTTACCTTTTTAGGCTTAGAAAATGTTTATATTAAATCTCAACTGTCAGAGTCCAGATTGAAGGCTGTTCTAAAGGCATGACCTTATTCATCATAACACTTTTGCTGCTAAAACAAGCTTCAGACACATTCAGTACATTTTGTTTTGATCCAATATTTATTTGATCCAGAGGCCTTTCCTTTTGAAGGGCGTTTTGGAAACAGCCTTATCTGTAATCATGTGTACTAATTGAATAACGTTTACACTTTCCAGTGCAAATTTGCTTAATTTTCAAAGGAAAAAAGGAAAACAAAAACACTTCTGACATAATCAGTTTTCACTGAGATTGTATAGAATAGAGATTTTCCATCTCCTTTATGAAAAATTCAAATGACATGGCTATTCATGAAATACCATATTACATAATTACCAGGTTTTTCACTGAAAACTATTGCCCAAATAGTCTGGGTAAGCAAATTCATCATCACCTCTGGAGATACAGTCTGTTATAACTAATGAAATCCAGCTAAGATTTGTATTCAAATATTTCCTGACTCTAAAATGAAAGAGTTGCTTTTATAAAATTTTCAAAATTGTGAGAACAGATGTGTTTGCCATGTAAAAACATTTTGGTTGTGGGAGGTGGACCACAGCTAACCAATTGTTCACAATAGCTAACATTGTAGAACCTTCAGTATTAAATTCACTAACTCACTTCATCATCAAAATTCCCTATGAGGCGTTACTGTGCTCCTTGCATAGGTTACCAAACTGAAGCTTTCTCAGAGTCACATAGCTAAGTAAATGTTGGTCCCGAGATTTGACTCCAGTGTTCTCTGATGCCACAGGCCCAGTTCTTTACCTGCAGTACTATCATTTGGGAATAATTTGGTTTCTGCAGCCATAATATATAATTTGTGGGTTGCTTTCCTTTCATAGGTATGGACAAACACTATGTCATAAAATCAGAGCTACAACTTAAAAGCCTCTAAATAACACCTTGAGATAACAAAACTGTATCTTAGGTTCTAATATATGTGATCATACTATACAGGCAGTCCTTGGTTTGCATAGTAGTCTGGGACAGTAAAAAATGGTCATGCAAACTGAAACCATGCAAAACAAACTTAATAATTAATGGGGAAATTTACAATTGTTTTGTGATCTTTAAATATTTTTGTGAAACATTAAAAAGTCTCTTACTGTTGGTTATAAATATATATAGAAATGAAAATATAGTAAAACTACTTAGTACTTCATAATTTAAAACATTAGGAATATTGAGAGTTAACCTTTTATTTCTTTGTAAACAGCTTATCAAGAGTATTTTGATCTTGCCTTCCCATAAAGCTTAGGGCCGGGCGCGGTGGCTCACGCCTGTAATCCCAGCACTTTGGGAGGCCGAGGTGGGCAGATCACGAGGTCAGGAGTTCGAGACCAGCCGCCAGGCTGAAACCCCATTTCTACTAAAAACCCCATGGTGAAACCCCATTTCTACTAAAAATACAAAAATTAGCCAGGTGTGGTGGCGTGTGCCTGTAGTCCCAGCTGCTTAGGAGGCTGAGGCAGAAGAATCGCTTGAACCCGGGAGGCGGAGGTTGCAGTGAGCGTAAATCACACCACTGCACTTCAGCCTGGTGACAGAGCTAGACTCCATCTCAAAAAAAAAACAAAAAAAAAAACTTAGGACACTGAGCAAGAATCTTTTCTATGCTTTGGCAAATTGTCATCCTCATTTCTAAGTTTGGATCACCTTCCAACATTTTATCCTCTGCACTTTAAACATCTGGAAATATCTTTGTGAGTACCTTTAATGTGCCAGCATCACTTCCTCTTCGACATTTTCATCCTTTTTGCAACTACTGTACTGTACTTTTCTTTTTCTTTTTCTTTTGAGATGAAGATGGAGTCTCACTCTGTCGCCCAGGCTGGAGTGCAGTGGCACAATCTCGGCTCGTTGCAACCTCCATCCCCCGGGTTCAGGCAATTCTCCTGCCTCAGCCTCCCCAGTAGCTGGGATTACAGGTGCGTGCCACCTTGCCCGGCTAATTTTTTAAAATATTTTTAGTAGAGACGGGGTTTCACCATCTTGGCCAGGCTGGTCTTGAACTCCTGACCTCGTGATCCACCCACCTCGGCCTCCCAAAGTGCTGGGATTACAGGCATGAGCCACCACACCCGGCCATACTGTACTTTTTCATTTAATAGATTGAAAAATTTGCCTCCACTAAATTTCTTTGGGTGAACATCTAAAGTCCCTCAAACAGCATTAGTGTCAACATTTCCATATTCAGTTATTTCTTCTATAACTCCATTTAGGTAGTTTTGGGGATTTTTTTAGAGGCAGGGTTTCACTATGTTGCCTCAGCTCCTGGGCCCAAGCAATGCTTCTGCCTCAGCCCCTGGAGTAGCTAGGACTACAGGCACACCCCACTGCACCTGGCTCCATTTATGTTTTTTTTTTTTCAGATTTCATTTCCAACATTGTCACTCTTTGTTGCTGTCCTTTCTTTCTTGTAATTCATTTTTGTAAAACATCACATGGATTTATCACTAGGAGACAAGACAAGGCAACTACATCCTTAGCTGTCTATGAGTGAACTGAATAACAGATACGTAGTAACCAATCACTGGCCGACTTTGAATGAAGTGGTGTCATTGGCCGTTGGTCATGATGTTATGTAGTGATTTTATAGACTGAAGTGCTGGCAGCAAAGATTGTGCGTTATGCATTGCTCACAATCAATATATTTGGTCATTGAAATTTGGACCATGGTTTGAGGAGTAGCTGGTGTTTTAACTAAAGCATAGTAACTGAAACTTACCCATATCAGAACCTCGCCAAGAGAGGACTACCATGAAAGTTAAATGAGGGGCATTAGGTTCCATAAAGGATCATAAAAATACTACTCTACTCTATTATACATTTACATATACACATGTGTATCCTAAAGTAATAAGCTAGTTTTAAAATATTAACCATACTTAATGATTAATATTTATTATATCTAATTATAATAATTTTACTTGCCACCTAGGGATTTAGAAGAGTTCAGAGGGATTTAATGTATGATCCAGGAAGTTTGAAAGTTTGAATTGGGCCAGGCGCGGTGGCTCACGCCTATAATCTTTGGGAGTGTAATCTTTGGGAGGCCGAGGTGGGCGGATCACGAGGTCAGGAGATCGAGACTATCCTGGCTAACACGGTGAAACCCCAGCTCTACTAAAAATACAAAAAAATTAGCTGGGCGTGGTCGTGGGCGCCTGTAGTCCCAGCTACTGGGGAGGCTGAGGTGGGAGAATGGCGTGAACCTGGGAGGCAGAGCTTGCAGTGAGCCGAGATCGCGCCACTGCACTCCAGCCTGGGAGAGAGTGAGACTCCATCTCAAAAAAAAAAAAAAAAAAAAAGAAAGTTTGAATAGATACTTTCCTTTAGATATGAAGACATTCAGCATCAATTCATTGCTCTTAAAGCAGATCTCATGATGGTTTATTTTTTAAAAAGAAGAAGAAAGAAAAGAAAACACAAGTGCAGAAGGATATGAACACCATGATACTTCTTATAGAACAATAATGTAAACAATATTATTTGGTTATTGAGAAACATTTACATTATAAATGTAAAAACTCATAATTCATAATATTCACCCATATGGAAGGAGAGAAAATGGTTTAAAATTTTTCCACATTGCAATTTCTTATATACCTATGTTTAATGAGACAGTATTTTATATGGACACCTGAGTGTTTTTCATCACACGGTAATACTTACATATCACATTATTCAAATTAATTACTAATATTTAAAATTCCTATTTTGGACTGAAGGAATTGAATTGACTTATAAGTTGTTCTTTTAGCCCTAAAATTCTGTATGTATTCTTTGACTTTTATATTAGAAACCATCAAAGCTGGGCGTGGTGGCTCCTGCCTATAATCCTAGTACTTTGGGAGGCAGAGGCAGGGGGCTGACATGCGCCTAGGCATTCAACACCAGCCTGGACAACATAGCAAGACTCTGTCTCTACACACACACAAAATTAGCCAGGTGTGGTGGTGCATACCTGTAGTCCCAGCTACTCAGGACACTGAGGTGGAAGGATCACTTGAGCCTGAGAGGCAGAGCCTGCAGTAAGCCCTGATTGTGCCACTGCACTCCAGTGTGGGTGACAGAGCGAGACCCTGTCTTAAAAAAAGATAAAAACTATCAAATGTAGTGCGTGTTTATTTTGGGGACTAAATGCTTATTTTTAAGGGGATGGTTAAAGTACTCAGCATTATTTAGGGAGTTAAAGCCTTAGGTTTTAAACCTGATTTGGGGTTGAGCTCTGGGAAGGAAAAGATGATTGATTCATAGGCACCCTGATACAGTCACTTATGATCTGAAAAGCAGATGTACTCTAAGGCACTCAAAATAAAAATAACACCAGTCCTATGCTTATCTCTTAAAGTCATGTTGTTTTCTGCAAGGTGTTAAAAATCAAAATAAGATTGTTCTAATAACATTGAAGTTTCGTCAGTATATGTGTATGATACAAGCGAAATTGATGGGTAACTACTTGCAGTATAATTCTTTTAGAATTATGTACTTTTAGATTGACTTACCAGAACTGCTGAAATAAAAAACACTCCAATTTAATTTGAAATAGTGGGAACATTGGCTCTGCTGCAGTGATTTTAAGTGTATACATGCCCGACTGTGAATGGATTAAGTTCATCATTGGTGCTGCCTTGAGGTGATTCAGAAACTTTCTTTTGCCATTGCAGGTAGAGCGGGAAAAGGCCATTCTTTTGGCCAACCTACAGGAGTCACAGACACAGCTGGAACACACCAAGGGGGCACTGACGGAGCAGCATGAGCGGGTGCACCGGCTCACAGAGCACGTCAATGCCATGAGGGGCCTGCAAAGCAGCAAGGAGCTCAAGGCTGAGCTGGACGGGGAGAAGGGCCGGGACTCAGGGGAGGAGGCCCATGACTATGAGGTGGACATCAATGGTTTAGAGATCCTTGAATGCAAATACAGGGTGGCAGTAACTGAGGTGATTGATCTGAAAGCTGAAATTAAGGCCTTAAAGGAGAAATATAATAAATCTGTAGAAAACTACACTGATGAGAAGGCCAAGTATGAGAGTAAAATCCAGATGTATGATGAGCAGGTGACAAGCCTTGAGAAGACCACCAAGGAGAGTGGTGAGAAGATGGCCCACATGGAGAAGGAGTTGCAAAAGATGACCAGCATAGCCAACGAAAATCACAGTACCCTTAATACGGCCCAGGATGAGTTAGTGACATTCAGTGAGGAGTTAGCTCAGCTTTACCACCATGTGTGTCTATGTAATAATGAAACTCCCAACAGGGTCATGCTGGATTACTATAGGCAGAGCAGAGTCACCCGCAGTGGCAGCCTGAAAGGGCCCGATGATCCCAGAGGACTTTTGTCCCCACGATTAGCCAGGCGGGGTGTGTCATCCCCGGTAGAAACAAGGACCTCATCTGAACCAGTTGCAAAAGAAAGCACAGAGGCCAGCAAAGAACCAAGTCCAACTAAGACCCCCACAATCTCTCCTGTTATTACTGCCCCACCGTCATCTCCAGTATTGGATACAAGTGACATCCGCAAAGAGCCAATGAATATCTACAACCTTAATGCCATAATCCGGGACCAAATCAAGCATCTGCAGAAAGCTGTGGACCGGTCCTTGCAACTGTCTCGTCAAAGAGCAGCGGCTCGGGAGCTAGCCCCCATGATTGATAAAGACAAGGAAGCCTTAATGGAAGAGATCCTCAAGCTAAAGTCCCTGCTGAGCACCAAACGGGAGCAGATCGCCACATTGAGGGCGGTGTTGAAAGCCAACAAGCAGGTAATCTCATTCTACTGGTGAAAGCATGCCAGTCAAAGCTTTCTTAACTAATTTATTCCCTAATTTTATTGAGTATCGAGTATCGTCAAGATGAGAGTTCAGATTCTTGGTAAGTGGATAAATAAAACTGTCCCAGTGCCAGATCAGAATGTCATAATAATTATTGTTTTTAAATGATGAAATACCTGTGCCCAGTTAGGTGGAGGCAGAGGTGAGGAACTTAAAGCAGGAACACAGGAGAAGATCTAGATGCCTTTCTGCAGATGTAGAAAGGCAGCTCAGGCGGTGCTGGGCTGAAGCCTGGCAGTGAGTGGCTGTGGAAACAGGAGATGGAGGGTGGCAGAATAGGCTGGCAAGGCAGGTTACACCAACCAGGGCGATACAGCAAGAAAGACAAACACCCAGCAGGCAGCTAGAGCAAACAGAGGGAAATCTGGGTACATATGGTGAAGAAGGTCTGATGGCCAATAACTGGACCCCAGCTTTGGAGCTGGAGGTTCAGATTCAAGACTCAATTTCTAGGAGTATAGCAAAATTATTATTATTATTATTTTTTATTTTTGTTTTGAGACAGAGTCTCGCTCTGTTGTCCAGGCTGGAGTGCACTGGCGCCATCTCTGCTCACTGCAACCTCCGCCTCCTGGGTTCAAGCGATTCTCATGCCTCAGCCTCCGAAGCAGCTGAGATTACAGGCATGTGCCACCATGCCTGGCTAACTTTTTGTGGAGACAGAATTTCACCATATTGTCTAGGCTGGTCTCGAACTCCTGACCTCAAGTGATCCGCCCACCTCGGCCTCCCAAAGTGCTGGGATTACAGGCATGAACCACCGCGCCCAGCCAAGTATAGCAAGATTAAAAGGAGTGTTTTGTCCTTCATCCCAAACTTAGAGAAACAAGAGCGCTAAATAAATGAATAAGTCAGGGATGAAAGGCAAGACAACTGTGAGGACCTGAGTGAGTAACAGAAACAAAGCCAGACAGATTGTTACCAACAAATTAAATAGTTTGGGGCCACTTTAGCAAGGAAATAATAGAGAGTGTGTGTGAGAGAGTATAAGAATGAGCTCTACCTGTGCTACTGACCACGTATCTGAAATTTAGGTTCATTTGGGATGTTAACCCACCTGGGTCAGAGGTTAAGTAATAGGGAGCTTTTCCTAGCTATTGATCTTGTCCTTCTGGACAAGTAGTAATGTTACAACATGAACCTGTCTAATTCCCAGCCCTCCTTAATGACTGAAATTGTTTTCACCCTGAGTTTTACCTTGGTGGGAGTGCTGCGAAATATAGGCAGGAAAATTATTTTCACCTTTATTTAGTTTATCTGAAAAGATATTCTTGAAAGACACATATTTGAGAAAGGTGCTGAATAAATGTTGGTGTTGATAAAGAGAAGCAACAAAGCACCAAATACCCTCCTGCAAACGCAAGCAGTGCCAGTGAATAGTAGGTCAAGGGAGCTCTTGGTCTTTGGAGAATGAGGATTAATTTCAGATTCAGAGTGTCTTCTCCATTTGCCATCATCTGGGGAAAACCACGCCCTTATTATCTCATCTACAGTGCAGCTTTCAAGTCCTCATCTCTAGTTCCCATAAATCTATTTATATAATTGACATCTATACCATAAGCCATAATATTGTTTGCACTATTAACATGTTTTATATAAACCTAAGGGCAAAATATGACTTTATTTTATGTTGTCACTTTAGAGAAATAGAAAAGATTAGAGTGAATGAAACCATCATTCTCAGCAAACTATCGCAAGGACAAAAAACCGAACACCACAAGTTCTCGCTCATAGGTGGGAATCGAACAATGAGAACACATGGACACAGGAAGGGGAACATCACACACCGGGGCCTGTTGTGGGGTGGGGGGAGGGGAGAGGGATAGCATTAGGAGATTTACCTAATGTAAATGACGAGTTAATGGGTGCAGCACACCAACATGGCACATGTATACATATGTAACAAACCTGTACGTTGTGCACATGTACCCTAGAACTTAAAGTAAATTAAAATATATATATATAAAATAAATAAAATAAAAAAAGAAAAGATTAGAGTGAATGAAGAATTTGTGAGAGATCTGACTCTAATTTTAGGTCGGAATAAAGGAATTTATTATTGTAACTCTGCTATAATTTAAAGACCCAATGATTCAGAGTGGTCATAAATAACCAATACCATATTAGATAAGGCTTACACAAGGACATGCTATCCTGGGGCATTCTTGATCAAGCCATCCAGATAACTTCTCTGACTTCTTCCTAAAGGTTGAATATTAACAATTTAGGTCTGGGCGCAATGGCTCACGCCTGTAATGCCAGCACTTTGGGAGGCCAAGGCCAGTGGATCACTTGAGGTCAGGAGTTTGAGACCAGCCTGACCAACATGGAGAAACACCGTCCCTACTAAAAATACAAAATTAACCAGGCGTGGTGGCGGGTGCCTGTAATCCCAGCTACTCGGGAGGCTGAGGCAGGAGAATCACTTGAACCCCGGGGGGCGGAGGTTGCGGTGAGCCTAGATTGCATGATTGCACTCCAGCCTGGGCAACAAGAGCGAAAATCTGTCTTAAAAAAAAAAAAATCAAGATGCTTAACTGAAACAGAGGTATAGATAAGGACACTTGGCCAACCAACAGAGACTAATTTGTGAACAAGCATTCATTGATTACATATTTTCTGGGAGGCAGTAAGTAGGGATGCAAAAATAAATGACATAATCTAGTAGGAATTCCGCAATTGCCTGTAGCTGTTTACAAGACAGGACTTATCAAGCACTTTAGAGTGATGTAAACAGTACCACAGGAAATCAGAACAGAACAAAGCATTCCTAGCTGAAGTTTTATTTTCACTGTGCTTTGTGGTACAGGTTGAGTATCCCTTTTCCGAAATGTTTTGGGGGACAAGAAATGTTTCAGATTTTGGATTTTGGACATTTGCATATATACATAATGAGTTATCTTGGGGATGGGATCCAGGTCCAAACATGAAATTTACTTATGTTTCATGTATTCCTATATACATAGCCTGAAGGTAATTTTATACAATTTTTTTAATGATTCCGTGGCTGAAACAAAGTTTTGACTGCCACTCATGACATGAGGTCAGGTGTAGAATTTTGTGGCTCATGTCAGCACTCAAAAGGTTTCAGATTTTGAAGCATTTTGGATTTTGGATTAAGGATGCTCAACCTGTACCATTTGCATTACATTAGAGTTACAGTCTATATGGGCTCAGTAAATTAAATGAAAACACATTTCTAGCAATGCATTTGGTCTGCACGTTCATGATGTTGGGGCTGTTGCTGTGATGCTTATTGCCGTAAATAGCTTCAAGTATTAACAGATGACATTCACTATATTTATTTAGACATTGTGAAATGTTTGTTTTTAAGGTTAAGGTGAGAATTCTGGGGTACAGGGGAAAAAAGGAAATCTCCCTGTTTTAAAATAGGCATTCTACTATACAGCCATAAGAAAGAAAAGAATGAGATCATGTCATTTACAGGGACATGGTTGGAGCTGGAGACCATTATCCTTAGCAAACTAACACAGGAACAGAAAACCAGATACCGCATGTTCTCACTTATAAGTGGGAGCTAAATGATGAGAGCAAATAGACACATAGAGGGGAACAACACACACTGGTTCCTGTTGGAGGCTGAAGGATGAGAGGAAGGAGATGATCAGGAAAAATAACAAATGGATACTAGGCTTACATACCTGGTGAAGAAATAATTGGTACAACAAACCCCCATGACACACATTTACCTATGTAACAAACCTGCACATCCTGCAGCTGTACCCCTGAACTTAAAAGTTAAAAATAAATAAATAGGCATTCTGTAGTCTCTATGAATCTTCTCATTTACTTAAGGATTTTTTCATAGGCACAGTGCCTTCTGATGAAGTCAGTAAATGCTTATGAAGCACCGTCCATCTAGCACTGTGCTAGATGCTGAAGATTCAAAGAAGACTAACACATGGTCCCTGCCTTCCAGAAGACTCAGCCTCCTGGGGATGTCAGGATAGAAACACAATTACAGTTCAACGTTACACATGCTGTAATCCAAGTTATGAGAACAATGCAGAGGAAGCAACTAAGGTTTCCTAGAGGAGCGGAAAAGACTTCACAGAAGCAATTATACCTTAGTTTGTTATTAAAGGATAAGAAGTTGTTTTCCAGAGGAGGAGGAAGTAATTCCAGACAGAACAGTAGGTAGAGAGGCTTTGGAGTGACAAAATAGAATAATATATTCAGGGAATGCTCACAAAGGCCTATGTGGCTGGAAATAAGACTTTTTTTATTTAGAAAGTCAACTTTGGAATGTGTGGAGAAAGTGGTGAAAGCAGAAATCAGCAAATCCAGTGAGTTATGGATACTTAAAATTACTTAATTCTGGAAAAACTTTGCACAGTCAATGGACAAACAAATCTACAAACAAAACTGAGGCTTTGGGGTATTTGTCACAAACAATAAATGATTTTGTATTTCTGTTTCAGATCTAGCTCTTCTGTTATCCCCCATTTTATTCCCCTTAGATACTGACCATGGGATTCTATGTGCTTACAAATTTGTTACATCTACATTTCACAACTTAAACATACTTTTCTGTTTTAAATGAATATGTGTCTAAGCTTTTTAAACACTAAACAACTGCCGTTTTTCCCCAGGTCAATTTCTGCCTTGTGGATAATTTTCTGAATCTGTAATATTTCTGAAGATTCCTCCAAGTATTTACAGAACATACAGAAGTATTTTATGAGTAAAGTCTCATTTTAATCTGAATTTAAATCCAATCAAAACTCACAAGAAACTACTTCGGAATCAAAACAGTAACAAAGTACCCTATCCCAACATTGATTTAATTAAGAAAGAATTTATTTCTATAGATGTTGGCACTTTGCATATGAAGGTTTGAAGCTGCCCATTTCAAGCAACAAAAAGAAATGTTAAAAACCAAGGTAGTCTTCCTGGGAAATCCCGTTAGTAATGGATTTCTCTGCTAGTAATGGGGTTGTTCATTAGTATGGGGTATTTGTATACACTTTGAAAAGTTATAGTTTCCAGTTTGTAAAAATCATGTGTTCCCAGTTTGGCTTCAACATGCAAACTGTGTGCTATGCATCAAACAGGCAATCCCTAAGTATACACTGATTTTATGCATTGATTCAGTCAGTGTGTTTTTTTACTTGTGTGTGTGCCAGGGTAGCTCTTGATTTGAAACACTATTAATTCCAAGAACTTCGGACATGCCCAAATCCCAGATTCAAACAAATGTTTTAACTCATTCAACATTTTATAACCCCTACTTTTATGGAGATTTTGAAGGAATTATATTTCACTATATTTCATTGTTTGGACAAATTGTATGCAAATTAGAAAGTAATTAGTTCTTTATCACTTCTTTTCCTTAAATGTATGATAACATGGATTTATAGTTTATCATATACTCATATTATAAATTACAATGGTGTATGTCTTTTATTCTATGTTTTGGGCCCACAGAGCACAGGTGACAAAATTTGAGTTCTAACATATTCCAATTTGATTATTCCTATTGAAGCTGTGCTTCTTTACTAAATAATTGGTAAAAAAATTTTTTTTGTATAAAGTTTCATTTTGGCTCCCTCCTTGTCCTAAAATCGCATACTTTCAGCAATCTGCATTAAATATTTATTAAACTACTGTCATTCTCTTAGCTCCTGATACTGACTCTGGCTCGCAGCGGGCTTCTAGGGCAATTTAACCACATTATGAATTCACAACACATTTTGACATTAAAGAAAAACTTCCCTGTGTCCAAAGCGCATACCTATGTTTATATAAAATGTAACCAAATCAATTTCACTTTCCTTTTATAAAAGAACATAATAGGCACAGCATGAAGCAATCTGTATGATGGATTTTCCTGATATGAAAATTGTAAGCAGTGTGATTTTCTGCTTTAGACAGCTGAGGTGGCGCTAGCTAATCTCAAGAACAAATATGAAAATGAAAAAGCAATGGTGACTGAAACCATGACGAAGCTTAGAAATGAACTGAAGGCTTTGAAAGAAGATGCTGCAACCTTCTCATCCCTGAGAGCAATGTTTGCAACAAGGTAACAGTATTTTCTTCCTATGACTGGGTGTGGTAGGTGGGGTAAAGGCTTTAAAATTCACAGCCCTGCCTTTGTGCATGTTGAGTGTATTCGGTGAGTAGTCTAGGATGGCTAAGTGTGAAGAAAATCTGTGGAAGTCCACTCTGACGTATCTAAAAGCAAGCCTTCTGTGCTGTTTTCCAGAGCCCCCTACTGAACACTCTGGATCCAGAAATTCTATTACATAAAAATATTTTTTAAGTAAGCTAATATTAATAGGTTGTTTCTAGAATTTATGCACCCCAAAGAGAGTCTCCCTCCAAATAAAAAGCTTTCAATAAGGAAAAAAACCCCACTTCCTAGAATAGCTAAATATTATCACCTCTGAAATAGAGTTCTGTGAAGGAAGTACATGAAAGTATATAAAAGTGCCTTACCTTTAGTACTGTGCGAGAAGATACTGTCATAATGAAGATTAATAATCATCACATCAGCTAATTACTTATAATTTTTTTTTTTTTTGAGACGGAGTCTTACTCTGTTGCCCAGGCTAGAGGGCAGTGGTGCGATCTCAGCTCACTGCAACCTCCGCCTCCCGGGTTCTAGCGATTCTCCTGCCTCACCCTCCCGAGTAGCTGGGAATACAGGCACCTGCCACCACGCCCGGCTAATTTTTTGTACTTTTAGCAGAGACGGGGTTTCACCCTGTTAGCCAGGATGGTCTCGATTTCCTGACCTCATGATCTGCCCGCCTCGGCCTCCCAAAGTGCTGGGATTACAGGCGTGAGCCACCGCGCCCGGCTGTATTTTGTGTTTAAACATGAAGTGATTGTTAAGAATGTATTTGATTTGAAGTTTTCAGAATCTTGAGATTTTCAATATACTGTTGAAATACATTTTTTGCTGTCACAATGCAGTGTCAAAAAAGACCTACTTTTTTTTTTTTTTTTTTGAGATAGGGTCTCACTCTGTCACCCAGGCTGAAGTGCAGTGGCGCTATCTCGGTTCACTGCAGCCTGGACATCCTGGACTCAAGCAATCCTCCCACGTCACCTCAGCCTCCCGAGTACCTAGGACTGCAGGCTTGCACTACCACACCCGCTAATTTTTGTGGTTTTTGTGGAGGCAGGGTCTCGCCATGTTGCCCAGGCTGGTCTCAAACTCCTGGGCTCAAGAGATCCGCCCACCTCGGCCTCCAAAAGTCCTGAGATACGGGTATGAGCCACCATGCCCGACCAAATCCTACCAATTGTGTATCTTGTATGATGCAAACTTGGTGCAAAATTCACGAATAATTACTATGGCTTTACTTGCAGATTTAGTAAATAATTTACATTTGGCTGATACATGTAAAAGTGTTAAAAACAAACAAAAAAAGATCTCTTGAGCTTTATAGGAGTCCCCCAGAAACTGAGATCACACCACTGTACTCCAGCCTGGGTGACAGAGCGAGACTCCGTCTCAAAAATAATAATAATTTTTTATAAAAAGGAATTGTTATCCCCAAATTGTCTATTTTCACAGACTTTTTTTTGGCATGAACAGTATTTGTTATTCATATTTTAGCGGGTAAATAAACTCAGAAAAAAAACAAAACAAAATTCAGAATGAGCTTTTTCTCCACGCCACCTCTACCTTCCAAATGTATATGTGCCAGGTTTTGCCTTTGGTAAGGAAAAAAGATCACTAAGCTTATCTTTCTTCTTCGGCACAAGTATGAAACCTGAATAAAGATGTTTCGGACAGCCTGCTGTATCTGTATGAAACCTTGTGAAATCTTGGTTTTTGCAGGGTTTTCTGTTTTTTGTTTTTTGACAACTCATTGCTCTGTCATCTGGTTGAGAAATCATTGAAAATACTCAGTTTTCTAATTCAGGCAAATCAGTCAAATTGACAAGACCAACAGCTGCAATCTATACTAAACTAAAACGTATAAATATAGATAAGGAAATGTTTTCTTTATAAACATTATTATTTTGGATACTATAGGCATAGCCTATAATAAACTTGTTACATTCCTCCAAAGAATACAATGTCATACAGTAAAAAGAGCTACTGTAAGACACTTCAGGTATAGTGGACATTGTGTGAGACTTGACTGTTATTCGTCTGTTACACAGCAGCCCCACGATAACTCTGTCCCTGGGGTTTAAGACATTGCCTATTAAGACTGTCTCCATATGGGCTGGGTGCAGTGGCTGATACCTGTAATCGCAGCACTTTGGGAGACTGAGGCAAGAAGATCACTTGAGGCCAGGAGTTCGAGACCAGTCTGGGCAACACAGTGAGACCCTGTCTCTTTAAAAAATAATAATGACTGGGCGTGGTGGCTCATGCCAGTAATCCCAGCACTTTGAGAGGCCAAGGTGGGAGGATCACTTGAGGTCTGG
The DNA here is from genome assembly GCF_000001405.40 of Homo sapiens. Taxonomy (NCBI): domain Eukaryota; kingdom Metazoa; phylum Chordata; class Mammalia; order Primates; family Hominidae; genus Homo; species Homo sapiens. The sequence goes on from NC_000012.12 coordinate 32,337,037, forward strand.
AGTTCAAGACCAGCCTGGCCAACATGGTGAAACCCCGTCTCTACTAAAAAAAATACAAAAATTAGCTTGGCATGGTGGCACACTCCTGTAATTCCAGCAACTCGGCAGGCTGAGGCATGAGAATCGCTTGAACCTGGGAGGCAGAGGTTACAGTGAGCCAAGATCACGCCACTGCACTCCAGCCTGGGCGATACAGCGAGACTCAGTCTCAAAAAACAAATAAACAAAACAACAACAACAAAATAATAATAAATTTTTTAAAAATGTCCCATATATCTCATTGTATGGATGAACATATATTCCAGTTTTCTGCTATTGTGGGTTATCTACATTCTATTGCTAGACCTTTAAACCAGTCTTCTAAATTTCTAAATTTCGGTCAAATTTATTACTTTTCAGCTTAACTCCCAAATTCAGTTTCACCAAGATTTTCCTCTGACCACTTCTCTGTTTTGGTTCCAGATGTGATGAATATGTCACCCAGTTGGATGAGATGCAGAGACAGTTAGCAGCTGCAGAGGATGAGAAGAAGACTCTGAACACTTTGTTACGAATGGCTATCCAGCAAAAACTCGCCCTGACCCAGAGGCTGGAGGACTTAGAGTTTGACCATGAGCAGTCCCGACGCAGCAAAGGCAAACTTGGAAAGAGCAAGATCGGCAGCCCTAAAGTAAGTGGGGAGGCATCAGTCACCGTGCCCACCATAGACACTTACCTCCTGCATAGTCAGGGCCCACAGACACCCAACATTCGGGTCAGCAGTGGCACTCAGAGGAAAAGGTATGCATGCAGCGATCTTCATAGTACGGTGCAGTGGCCAGATTTTAGTTAACTGCAAAAATAAATGTGCTCTTGTTGTGGAGGATGGAGGAGGGGAAGCAAAAGAAAAAATGGGAGCTGGCATATAAATGGTCTTGCTAATGTGGGTCTTTCCAGATCAAAACCTTTTTGATAATTGTGTTTATGTAGTCCTTTCTAACCCCCTGCCCAATCCCTCCTCTTGATTAATCGTAATATAATTTTCAAGTGTCTGTTAATATTTTTGCTACTCTTTGTATGTGTAAATATGCCTCTCCCTTACCTCCAACCTGAGAATTGGTAGATAAAGGTGGATATTAAGAATGAAGCTGTGTTCTACCTGGGTTATAATTTTAAAAGTCATTGTACCTTTGGAAATGGTGCTGTTTATCAGCTTCTCTTTAACGGGGCAAGGATATGAATATGTTCTCTTAGGGAAACTTTTGTCCATATGACCAAAACTGATGACAGACTGAAAGGGGATGTCTATATCTAGATAAAATGGGATGGAATACGCACAGTCCTTTTCTTGAAAGCAGGTTTTTGTGCTTTTTCATTTGGCATGGGAATATTGCCCAGAGAAACCACTTGTAAGGTTTTTAGGGGCTTGATTTTGTGAGTCCTGGCTGTTGAGTTACTTACCCTGTATTTTCGGTTAATGGTAACATTTTTATTTTAGGAGCTTTCATTAAAGACTCAAATAATATATTTTCTATTTGCGGTTCAAGCTGACTAACTGTAATAAATCTTTTTTCCAGTATCCAGAACAGTTTCCAAATAGGGTTGTATCCTGATGTGGAAACTAAAAAAAAAAAAAGCAAAAAGATTGATTTACATATTTAAAAAATTAAATGCCAGTATAAATAATGTTGTCACTGGTGAGGCGTTAAAAGGTAATTAAAGTAAAACTTTTTTGTTTCCTATATGTATTTTTCTTGGATCTCCTGCAAGACAATTTTCACCTTCCCTTTGTGATCAGAGCCGTCCCAGGACTTCAGGGGCTTCCTACCTACAGAATTTATTAAGAGTTCCCCCTGATCCCACCTCCACAGAATCATTTCTTCTGAAGGGCCCCCCTTCCATGAGTGAATTCATCCAAGGGCACCGGCTCAGCAAGGAAAAAAGGTTAACCGTGGCTCCACCAGGTAAACATTTTTTCCTTGGGTGCATGTGATGCAAATGATTAGTTGAATAGACTCTCCCCTTCCTTCCGGTCACTCAGGCTCACCCAGCTGCAGAGTATACCTTTGATGATGTGTAAATTCCTATAAGTCAAGTAAAAACTTCCTTACACTTAGCTTCCCATTTCCTCCTTCACTCATATTCCTTAGAATGACAGACTTCCATTTAACAGCCAAAGATGGCAAATGAGAGTTGGAAGGAATGGGATAGGTAAAGGGAAATTAGCAACAAGCACAACGCACACACACTTGGATCCTATTTGCAGTTTGGTAGCTCATGGCGATTCCATCTTGGTCAGATTTGGCCAGTTCTCTCTTATCGTTTTTAATGTAATTTCCGTAAAGGGAGAGCCATATGTATAACAAGGCTTTTGGGCTGATTTCCTTTTGTGGTGACTCAGAACGTCTCCTCAATCATTATATTGAGAATAAAAGTAAAACCTTCTAAGATTTTGCTCCTCAAGAACATTTAGGTCTTAGTATAATGTTCTTGTAGATTGCAGGCCCCCCACTGGTTAATGCTTACCAACATGTTCACACTTAGCTTCACTATTTTGCATTTTTCTTTCTTCCTTCCTTCCTTTCATTCTTTTTACTTGTTCTATGAAGAGGCCTAACTTGAAAATGTGACATATGGCAAATAGAGAAAATTATTCTTGCAAATAAAAATCATCCTTTTAAGGAATCCCTGCATGTGAGTATAGGGCAGAAGTGGCAAACAAGGAGCCCATAAACCAAAGTAAGCTTAAAGGCAGCTGTTATTTGACTATTGCCAGAAAATAAAAAATAAAACTATTTAAGTTAGTTATTGACAGTTAAAAATTCAAGAGATTTTATATGAACATCAGTATTTCTGGCCTCTTTTGGAAGATTCTGAATATCTGGCAGCCCTAGGTCTGCGTTCACGCATGTCAACACCTGTTGGAGCTCTGTAGTGGCTGCTGCTGTTAGGGCAAGCTTCGCACTTTGCCACAGTCACCACTCCTCCTTATTACTTATACCCAGCCTGCTATCCTCATTTCTATTCTCTCCTGGCCCCTCCTGTAGTCTTTGAGTTTGCCACCGTTGAAATAGAATTTTTTTTTTCATTTTACCTTAATTCCTTTTTGCAAACCTCAGCCTTTGGATCTCTAATACTTTCCTTATCTGATTCATGAAGTCAGCCTACTGATTGGGATTAAAAGATGTGGTGTAGAAACTGATAGTGCATTTCACGTTCTAAAGGTGTTTGAGGAAATTGGTAGTGATAATGAGTTGGAATGGTGTAATAGCCAAAATATACACCTAAGAAGAAAAAAAGTAAAAACTGCTTGGTGTTTTTAATTTCATAACTGATTTCCTATTGTTTTAGACCTCCTTGGAAGGTACCTTGAAGTATTCTGTGAATCACCAAAGTGGTAATGATTTATCAGGATACCTAACTCGGATAAAACCCACAAGTCTTCTTTTTAGTGTTCCAAATGGATTTAGTAGCACTATCTACTGGAACTTAGAAAAGAAATTGGTATGATTAATAAATAACTCCTATTGCTGTTTAATTAAAAAGATAACATCTCAATAAGGTTAAAAATTAATAATCAATGTTAACAACAATAACTGTTTTCATTTTTGTATGACTGGTTTTTGTTTACATGAATATATACTTTATATTGTTATCATTACATTGTTTAAGCCATGAACATTATATCACAAGCTTTTCCATGTTGCTATCTAGTCTTGTTTTTATTTGTTAAAGTTATTGTATCATAGATTTTGTTTCAGATGCTGTTATCACATTAATCACTACTTCTCTTCTTGTCCACTGAGGTAGTTTTTCATTATTTGTTATATTATAGAGCACTGCTGGGAATACCCTCATGCATTCAGCTTCTCATCTATTACATTTTTCTCAAGAGTGAGATCACTCAGTTAAAAGTTGAACATCCTTATGTTTTTTGCTCCATTCTGATGTTGCTGTCAAGAAGGGTATATCAATGTACTAAAAGCCCATAAAACACTTTCCCTTTTTCCCACATTGGGAATCTTTCTGCTACTTTATCCACACTGTGCACATCTTACAACTCTAAAGTCAGTTAGCATACATGAATGAGAGTACCATATATTGTCTTAAACTCTTTAGTTTTGAATAACCAGAAAATACCATTGACCTTAGAAATGATTACTATTTATGAGATTCGAGGCCGGCTGCAGTGGTTCACACCTGTAATCCCAGCACTTTGGGAGGCCAAGGCAGGTGAATCACTTGGGCTCAGGAGTTTTAGACCAGCCTTGGCAACATGGTGAAAACCCGTCTCTACAAAAATTAGCCAGGTGTGGTAGTGGGCACCTGTAGTCCCAGCTACTCAGGAGGCTAAAGTGGGATCCCTTGAGACAGGGAGGCGGAAGTTTCAGCGAACCGAGATCGCACCACTACACTCCAGCCTGGGTGACAGAGTGAGACACTGTCTCAAAAAAAAAAAAAAAATTAGAGATATAAGGAATGTGGAATTCAGAATAATCACCAGACCAGAAGGTCATGCTAATGACAGCTTAACATATTGATAACCTTTATAATTCTCACCATTTATGTAAAGTTAAAATAATAAAAGAGGAAAGGAAGTAAAGCTGTTATTATAGCCTTAGGAATTTTTAATTATGTATCGTGGAATCAACCAGATTAACGCTTAGTAAATTATTATCAAATCAATCTTAGCAACATTTTCTAAAAGGTCCTAGTTAAATGAATTACTACAGAAAGTGACGGACCATCCACACCAAATAAATTGTAGCTTCTACAAATATCTGCATTATTACCAATATATGTTATTTTCCCTCAGCTGAACTATATAGGGTAAGACATATCAAACATTTTTTATGATGCTTTTACTATATAAAATCTTTTCAATAAGCCAAGAAAGAGAAAATATGACATATAATACCAGTCTTATGTTCTATATAAGAAATATCATAAGCCCATGGGAAATAGTAGATTTTATGAGTATTTTTAAATTCAGGAGTTTAACCATTATAAAATTTGCTAGCTAGTAACAATATCTATTAATCATTTTAAAAGGAAAATTCTCTATTAATGTATCAGAATGTTTTTGATAAGCATTGTTTTACATATATATGTATATATATATGTGTGTATATATATGTGTGTATATATATGTATATATATATGTGTGTATATATATATGTGTGTGTGTGTATATATATATATATATATATATATATATGTATAGTTTTGGGGGTTTGTTTTTTTTTCTTTTTTTTTTGAGACGGAGTTTTCCTCTGTCACCCAGGCTGGAGTGGAGCGGCGCAACCTTGGCTCACTGCAAGCTCTGCCTCCCAGGTTCATGTCATTCTCCTGCCTCAGCCTCCCGAGTAGCTGGGACTACAGGCGCCCGTCACCACACCTGGCTAATTTTTTGTATTTTTAGTAGAGATGGGGTTTCACAGTATTAGCCAGGATGGTCTCAATCTCCTGATCATGATCCGCCATCTCGGCCTCCCAAAGTGCTGGGATTACAGGCGTGAGCCACTGTGCCCAGCCTAAAATATATTTTTAGTACATCTTTTTAGATGATTTTTAATTATTCTAATAAGCAGATATGGGCTTTATTTTTCTATTGAGGACCATTGAAACAATTACCTCAACTAAAAATGAAATCAGTTTAATTTGTTTTTAATCCTTCAGTTGAAGAATTGAGAGAGGTATGTGTCGTTTAAAAATTTAAGACACAGAACATAAAATGTTATTTATTCTGTACAAGAGTTACTTTCAAATAGATTTTATTTCTATGAGATGGTAAACAGAAAGCCTCATCTCCTTAAATGCACAATTTCTCCATTCTGGAGAATCAACTATAGGGTGAGGCACTGATTTTCAACATTAGTAGAATATTGTATAGTAATTGATTAATGCATTATACTGATCGGTTTGCTGCATTAGTACAACCTTTTAAGGGAAAATTCTGGCGTTTCCCTCTGGCTGGCTCAGCTTCTGCAACCTCAGCCCTTACAATTGCAGTGCTTCTGGCCATGGCTTGCTTGTTAACTTTCTTGTTCTTGACTTTATCCTTATCCTGGCACACAAATTCCAGTGTCCTTCCACATGCTCATCTTAGTTTTCACAGTTTCAGTTACCAGCTGATCTGAGAAGTGCCTATCAGCCTTGATGACCTTGACTCAAAAGGGACCCTGTTGTCATCAAGGAGTTTGTAATTGGACAGCAGATTGTATGTCTTCACAAAATTGTTGCCTATTTTTTAGCCAGCATTTTATCTTGACTCCTTAACTACCTAGGCCTATATCCTTCTCCTCCTCCTCCGTCCCCTCTTCCTCTTCCTCCTCCGTCCCCTCTTCCTCCTCCTCCTCATCATCTTACCATTTAATCAATAATTGCAATCAGCCTGTCAGAATACGTAAAGGGAATCCATGTAATTCACAGGCGGGAGTTGTTATTTCTGTAGTAAAGACCTGACTGCAGCATTTACACATGATAAATAGGAAATGGCAAACCTGGGGAAGCAAGTTTGAACTCAATCTGGAAGTAATAGCCTAAGCAGCTTGCTCTTCACACTGTGTTTCCCATGTCACCCTTTTCCTCTTAGGTATCTTGCTTCTCCCTCTCATTTCAATCTCCTCCTTCCTTCTGTTCCTCCATCCTTCCATCCCTCCCTCCTGTCTTTCTCTGACACAATGACTCAGCTAGTTTAAGAGAATGGTATTATTTTGAAGTCTGAAAATGTTTCTGTGATATTTTGCTTTTTACTGATCTTTAAAGCAACTCACAGAAGTGTATTAGCCTTAGATACGTAATCACCCCTTGAGATATATAGTCAACAGTACACACTGACATGTTCATAGTAAAAACTGCCTTTATGTTTCACTGCATTCAAGCAAGTAGATATTTGTTTGTTTCACGTATTGCAAAGCCTATGTTCTTAAGCATGTACCAAAATCACATTTATTTCATTAATCCATTTACTCATTCACCAGAATGTAACAAAATTTAGTGAATATCTGCTATGTGTCAGGCACTTTTCTTGGCTCTTGATATACAATGATATTCAAATAAAACTCATAGTCTGGTAGGGGAGGTAGGAGACAAATATGTACTGATGTTAATAGATATTCCTGAAATAAATAAAGGAATTAGGATGGTTAGGAACGTCCTTCCAGAAGAAATGCAAGGCTGGCCATGAAAGGTGACTATATCGTAATAGGCAGAAGGTGGCAGCGCAGGTATGGGTCGTAAGAAGAACCTTATAGGAAAGGAGGTCAACTTGCCCCAGTGCCATGAGCTCAGCACTACAACCTGGTGCAGGACTTCGAAGTAATAGAAAGCGAGGCTGCAAAGGTGGACAGGGACCTGAAGACAGAGGGCCAGGTTAGTGAGAGCAGACTTACCACGGGCATAGCTTAGCAGTTTTAAGAATAGGATCAGATTTTCATTTGATAAAATCACCCTGATGACAAGGTGGAGAGTGGATTAGATGTGGGTAACATCGAAGATAAAGAAGCAGGTACAGAGACTCATAAAATATGCAGATGAGAGGTAGTGGAGACCAGAATCAAAACTGTGAGGAATAGGAATGTTTAAATATGTCCCAAGTTACAATTCAGTTACATATTTCATCAGCCAGCATGTCCTGTGCACACACGACCTGCTCTTACTGCTTTCCATGTTCTGTATGTGGAAGGAGATCAGTCAATCTTGAACTCATGGCCTCAGTATTTTGTACTTTATAATTTATATTTTTTCCTATAGAGGCTTTTCTATTTATGTGTATTCCACTTCCCCATATCACTAAACTGTCTTTTTCCACAGGATTCAATTCTTGAACTAGTAGGAGTGAAGGGCAGTCTGTTGAAACCTGTAATCTCTTAGGCTTGTATTTTCTTTGAACATAGTTTCCACAGAATTCTTCCCTGTAGGGGAAGGCCTGGGCACTTCTTGATGTCAGAACATGTTGTCTTTAGTTTGGAATCTGCCAAAACAAAAGTTAAATCAAAAATGTTAATTCCTGTCACCCCAGCACTTCGGGAGGCCAAAGCAGGAGGATTGCTTGAGCCCAGGAGTCCGAGACTGGCCTGGGTAACATAGCGAGACCTCGTCTCTACATTAAAATTTAAAAATTAGCTGGATGTGCTGGCATGCACTCATAGTCCCAGCTGCTCAGGAGGCTAAGGCGGGAGGATTGCTTGAGTCTGGGAGGTCGAGGCTGCAGTGAGCCACTGCACTCCAGCGAGTGATGGAGTGAGACCCTGTCTCAGAAAAAAAAAAAAAAAGAAGAAAAAATATATTAATTCACAAAATTGTCAACCACATGTTGAGAAATACATTTTTATACTTGCTGTATATTTTTCAATAGGTAATGGTTCAAAAATTTTAAAGTACAAAGGGTATACAGTAGATGGTAGATTTCTGCCACAACTGTGCCCACCCAACCTTTTGTATTTTTCCAGAAACATTCTATACATATATAAGGAAATGCATATAAATATATACATATATAAAAACATATGCATTTTACATATGTGTTAATACCATTGGCACAACCACAGACATTATGCATGCCGGTTTTTTTCACTTGATGTATCTGGGTTCTTCTTTCCTATACATTTATCTTTTTGTTTCTTTTGAGTCAGAAGAAGTTATGAAGGGGAAGGAAGACATGCTTGAGCTCTTTAAGAAAGCTTGGAATGTTTCTATGTGTGCAATAGAAATATTTCTTGCCAAATGATAAAATGACAGCTACAAGAATGTTTCTATTCAGAACTATTCAATAGAAATATGATATAAACCATATATGTAAATTTAAATTCTCTAGTAGTCTAGTAGTCATGTTAGAAAAAGTAAAAAGAAGTCAGGCACCATGGCTCACGCCTATAATCCCAGCACTTTGGGAGGCCAAAATGAAGGATCACTTGAGCCCAGGAGTTCAAGACCAGCCTGGGCAACATGGCGAAACCATGTCTCTACAAAAAATAAAAAGATTATTCGGGCATAGTGGCATGCGCCTGTACTCTCAGCTACTCAGGAGGCTGAGATGGGAGGATTGCTTGAGCCCAGGAGATTGAGGCTGCAGTGAGCCATGATCGTGCAACTGCACTCCAGGCTGGGTGACAGAGCAAGACCCTGTTTCAAAAAATAAATAAAAAGAAACAAGTGAACTTAATTTTAGTAGTAGATTTTAATTGACACACTATATCCATAATGTGATCATTTCAACATGGAATTCATAGGTGGCTAACACCTATAATTCCACTTTGGGAGGCCGAGGTGGGTGGATCCCTTGAGGCCAAGAGTTCGAGACCAGCCTGGGCATCATGGTGAAACCCTGTCTCTACAAAAACTACAAAAATTAGCCAGGCATGGTGGTGCATGCCTGTAGTTCCACCTACTCAGGAGGCCAAGGTGTGGGGATCGCTTGAGCCCAGGAAGCAGAGGTTGCAGTGAGCCAGGATTGTGCTAGTTCTTTCCAGCCTGGGTGACAGAGTGAGACCCTGTCAAAAAAAATATATATATACGTGTATATATATATATATATATATATATATATATATATATATATATATACGTGTATATATATATATATATATATATATACGTGTATATATATATATATATACGTGTATATATATATATATATATACACACACACACGCACACACACACATACACATACATACACATTCTGTTTTTCTTATTCAGTCTTTGAAATTCAGTATTATGCACTTACAGCATATCTTGATTTGAACTAGCCACATTTCAAATGCTCAACAGCCTAATTTCGCTAAGGGCTACTGTGTTGGACGGTGCAGTTCTAGAACTTCTTAGTTTTAACTAGATAGAATTTCCACACAGAAATCTAAATTTGAATAACTAATGACTGATTTTAAAATAAAATTTAAGATGGCATGTATTTCGGTTTTATTTCTTTTCTTTTCTTTTTTTTTTTTTTTAAGACAGAATCTTGCTCTTGTTGCCCAGGCTGGAGTGCAATGGCACAATATTGCCTCACCGCAACCTCCGCCTCCCAGGTTCAAGCGATTCTCCTGCCTCAGCCTCCCAACTAGCTAGGATTACAGGTATGTGCCACCATGCCTGGCTAATTTTGTATTTTTAGTAGAGACAGGGTTTCTCCATGTTGGTCAGGCTGGTCTTGAATTCCTGACCTCAGTTGATCCTCCTGCCTCAGCCTTCCAAAGTGCTGGGATTACAGGCATGAGCCACTGCGCCCTGCCCTCATTTTTCTTTTAAACTGACATAGACCAAAGTGCTATTTTGCTGATTCTGCTTTGTCTCTGATTGGTGGCAGTGCTTTTTAAAATAGATACATATTAAATGTTTGAGCCAGGCGTGGTGGCTCATGCCTGTAATCCCAGCACTTTGGGAGGCTGAGGCGGGCAGATCACAAGGTCAAGAGATCGAGACCATCCTGGCCAACATGGTGAAACCCCGTCTCTACTAAAAATACAAAAATTAGCTGGGCATGGTGGTGCGTGCCTGTAATCCCAGCTACTTGGGAGGCTGAGGCAGGAGAATCGCTTGAACCCAGGAGGTGGAGGTTGCAGTGAGCTGAGATCACGCCATTGCACTCCAGCCTGGGCAACAAGAACGAAACGCCATCTCAATTAAAAAAAAAGAAAAAGTTTGTACCTATATACCCTTTTCATACATCTCTTATTTGTTACTAGATCTCCTTGTCAATATAAAAACTTAATTACTTAGGTATATCCTAACAAAACATATTCCTTAAACATTCTTAAAACAGTATAATGACTTAGTTTTTTAATTACCGTAATGAAGTTGTAAAAGCCCATGTTTCTTATTTTAAGCAGAGAGTGCCTTAAAAAGGTTTAAAATGCATCCTGCCAGTTTTAAATAGCAGAATTTATTGATACCATATATATAGACTGAAAACACATCAAAGTCTTTCAAGGTTGATTATTTCTTGTGCCTTCCTTCTTCCCACAGTAAGAGAGAAGATAAAGATAATACTGAGTAAACCATTCCATGCTACAAATTGGACCCATTCGACAAAAATGCAATACTTAGTAGAACATCTGATGACCATGGTCCTATTCGTGTTTTTATTTTGTTTTATTTTTGTTTTTGTTTACTGTTCTCTCCTCTGTCCAGTATTCCTGTCCAGAAATTACATTTCCTTAAAAGATTTCATATTCAAAACCTGAGCATTGTATGCAAAATAAGCTATGATGAAAGGATGAAACTTTTTAATTACTGAAGAGATCAACATGAAAAACTCTGTAGCAAGAATGTGTATTTTATATTAGATCATACTTTTCAATCCATATTGACTATTTTAGTACCATTATGTAATTTTAAAGTCTTTTAGATTTTGTTAAAATTTTATTAAATCCATGGAAATTGAAAGTTCCTTATTTTAATCCTTAGGAGAAAAACTATAATTTTTCTCTAATATATCCATAAAGTGAAAGAAGAAGTACTTATTTGATATTCTTAATTGTTACATATTTAAGAGCAAGAGTAATTAGTTCATACTTATGTTCACCTAAGTCCACCCATACATTGCTGAGGATAGCGGCCTTCAGAAGGTGGCTGTTTCCGGAGGAGTAACAGGGAGGAACAGGTGGGCTGAGATATACATGAGGCCCAGGACATTCCAGGCAATAACTGTCTGCCTCTCCTGACTCTGCCCAAACCCGAAATGATGCTTTCTAGCTCACACAAAAATATATATATATATATATATATATATATATATATATATATATATATATATATATATCAGCAGGCAGATACTCAAGCTGAAAGAGACATTACTGGGGTTCGTTTCTAGATCACAGATCCTGCCTCAGGCTCACTGAAGTGACCAGCCTCCACCCAGTAACAACAAACTAGTCTAAATCCAGAATAAAACAATTATACATTTTAATCTTACCACCTTCTACCTGTGTGTGCTGTCCACCCTCAAGACAGAGAATAGCCCGTATTCCACCAACCAGCAATCACTAGCCTACAACACCAAATCCACAGTTTCTTTGGTATCCTTTGTGCCAGGGAGTTGGGTGCTGAACAATCTACCTGTAACATTCCCTTGCCTTCATATCCCAAAGCTCTGCAAGCAAAGAAGAGTTCTGGTGGGCAGCTAGGGCCATTTGTTGTAGTCCAGAGGAAGAGAGCCATCCGTATCTTCTGTGCTGTACTCATACCTATTTAATCCAATCTGCTGGCACCAGTCTATTATATTCAACTGTTTGCCCCCACTGTAACTACATAACAACCACCTCTATTACAACAGTGATTATAAGGCATTATCTGAGAGGGTATATCCAAACTGTACCTTGCAAAGGGACTTCTATCTGCAAAGAATACTAAGAAAACATATTATGAGAAAGTCACAATAGGTACCCAGAGAAGCCAATCTCTAGGTTAACCAACTACTTCCCTGTCCATTTCTCCTTATAAATGTGAAAGGAGAGCCTACAATGAAGAAATCCTGGAAGGGCATCTCCCAGCTCTGAGACTCTCTGATGCTATGAATTCAAGTTATTCTGTCCATGACTGGGTCTGGAGGTCACTGTGTAAAATCTACGCTTCTAAATAAATGTTATGATATCTCAGCATACTATACCATACTTATAACATGTATGCTTATAACAGCATACTATACCATATAGTATAGTTCCCAAGAAAAGGGAATGTTTCTTCCCCCCTAAAAAAAGGAAAATTCCCATTATCTAATATATAAAACAAACTTTTTTGATGATTTAAAGTGACTGTGTGTTGTGAACTGAGTAGACAAGGCAGGAAGGAGTAGTGATGTTCCTGAGTTCTTGCTGAATTCTGACAACGTGCCAACACTTTGATTTCTCTGTCAAAATGGGTGGGATTTGATATCTAAAAAAGTATACCATTACATATCTAAAAGTATATTGTTACATGGAATATGGAAGCCACTGATTTAATTCTGGAATGTCCGTCAACATGACAGCCACCTAAACTCCTCTGAGGCATTGTAAACGGTTAGGAAAATTGACCTTTCTACACACTAAATCTGGCTTCAGTGGCTCTCCTGAGCTCTAAGGGAGTTGGGCAGGGGCAGCCTGAGCTCCGGCTGTGAGCATAGCTCAACTGATGTGTAGTTAGAATGTTCATGGAAGGCCCAGGCTTGCTACTTCCCATTCCTTTATTTTAAATGATGTAGTGAGCCAGGCGTGGTGGCTCATGCCTGTAATCCCCGCACTTTGGGAGGCCGAGGTGGGTGGATCACTTGAGCCCAGGAGTTCAAGACCAGCCTGGGCAACATGGTGAAACCCTGTCTCTACAAAAAAAACAAAAATTAGCCAGGCATGATGGTGTGTGCCTGTAGTTTCAGGGGAGGCTGAGGTGGGAGAATTGCTTGAGCCCAGGAGGTGGGGGCTGCAGTGAGCTGTGATTGCACCACTGCACTCTAGCCTGGGTGACAGTGCCTACATAAATAAATAAAAAGAAAGAAAGAAATGATGTAGTGAAAATATAGTTACATAGCACTTATACCTAGACTACTTAAAGTGACCTAGTAATTAAACTTATATAGCTCATCAACCAGCAAAGATTCCTAGTGCACCACACTCGTTATAGAGCAGGGAAGCATCGCTGCCACCCTCAGGGATTCCTCTTGCATATCTCTGTGTTCTGTCCTCCACACACCCATCTCTTTAGTCATCTATTGATTTTATTCAATTTTCCTGGCAGTTTCCCCAGTGTATTTTACCTGAAAGGTATGAGAGGAAAAAGGAAAAGCACAACTCAAAATGGTTGACTATTCCATTCTTTGTTTTCTTCAAAAAGTGTAAAGTCATAAAGATGCCATAGAACCACTAAATTCATTGTCCTTTGTCACCTCTCAGCCAATAATAGTCATTGATATACTCTCCATACCACAAATTTAAAGTTTTTTGTGAACTGTACATGCAATAGCCAAGTTTATTTTAACTTTAGTCATTACTGGATCCCAGAGATTTTCTTTCTCTTTTTTGGCATATAGATTATTTATGTCACTTCAGTATGCCCAGTCCACAGATGAGATCTTCTGAGGGACTGCTTCTGGAGCCGGCCCTCTTGTGTGATTGAATTAGTCAGTGATGGTTCTCAGGACTAGATTAGATTGTTACTCTTAAAATAATTACTTAAAAAAAAAAAAAAAACTTCCATAACTTGAAAATTTTGTGGCCAGGTGTGGTGGCTCACGCCTGTAATCCCAGCACTTTGGGAAGCCGAGGTGGGCGGATCGCTTGAGGTCAGGAGTTCAAGAGCAGCCTGGCCAACATGGTGAAACCCTGTCTCTACTAAAAATACAAAAATTAGCCGGGCATGGTGGCGCACGCCTGTAATTTCAGCTACTCAGGAGGCTGAGGCAGGAGAATTCGCTTGAACCTGGGAGGTGGAGGCTGCAGTGAGCCAAGATGGTACCCACTGCACTTCAGCCTGGGCAACAGAGCAAGACTCTGTCTCAAAAAAAAAAAAAAAAAAAAAAAAGAAAGGAGAAAAAGAAAAGAAAAATTTGCATTTAAGACTTATATGAAAATACATAATTTATTTTGCAGAATGATCTAGAGCAGGACTGTCATTTTAACTAAAGTTATTTTTGGCCAGGTGTGGTGGCTTATGTCTGTAATCCCAGCACTTTGGGAGGCCGAGGCAGGTGGATCACGAGGTCAGGAGTTCAAGACCAGCCTGGTCAATATGGTAAAACCCCATCTCTACTAAAAATACAAAAATTAGCTGGGCATGGTGGTGCATTCCTGTAATCCCAGCTACTCAGGAGGCTGAGGCAGGATAATTGCTTGAACCAGGACGCGGGAGGCAGAGGTTGCAGTGAGCCAAGATGGCGCCACTGCACTCCAGCCTGGACTACAGAGCGAGACTCTGTCTCGAAAAAAAAAAAAGTTGGCCAGGCACAGTGGCTCACACCTGTAATCCCAGCACTTTGGGAGGCCAAGGCGGGTGGATCACAAGGTCAGGAGTTTGAGACCAGCCTGGCCAAGATGGTGAAACCCCATCTCTACTAAAAATACAAAAATTAGCTGGGCACAGTGGCGGGCGCCTGTAATCCCAGCTACTCAGGAGGCTGAGGCAGGACAATCACTTGAACCTGGGAGGTGGAGGTTGCAGTGAGCCGAGATCGTGCCTCTGCACTCTAGCCTGGGTGACAGAGCAAGACTCTGTCTCAAAAAAAAAAAAGTTATTCTTAGTGGATATAAAAATTGGTGTTTTTGGCCGGGCGTGGTGGCTCATGTCTGTAATCCCAGCACTTTGGGAGGCCGAGGCGGGTGGATCACGAGGTCAAGAGATGGAGACCATTCTGGCCAACATGGTGACACGCACCTGTAATCCCAGGTACTCGGGAGGCTGAGGCAGGAGAATCACTTGAATCTAGGAAGCGGAGGCTGCAGTGAGATGAGATTGCGCCACTGCACTCTGGCCTGGCGACAGAGTAAGATGCCGTCTCAAAAAAAAAAAAAAATTGGTGTTTTCTTGGTTTGTTTTGTGTTTTAGTTTAAGGAGACACATTTCCTCATCTTAAGGACTTTTTTGCTGCTCTGATGCTGGTCATCTAGTCCATTCTTTTGCTCTAAACTGAGCCTTGCCTCCCAGTTCTTCATTGCACTTCAGATTGTGTCTTACTACAAAGAGAAAATTAGTCTGTGATCAGTTTGGATCAGAAGAACTGAAAATGTACATTTAGAATAGAAGCCAGGGATGTGATGCACACCCGTGATCCCAGCTACTCAGGAGGCTGAGATGGGAGGATCACTTGAGCCTGGGAGTTAGAGGCTGCAGTGAGCCGAGATCGTGCCACTGCATTCCGGCCTGGGTGACAGAACAAGACCCTGTCTCTAAAAAATAAAAAGAAGAAAAGAAAGAAATTTAAAGTAGGAAGGGCTACCGTTTGCTTCTGGCCAAGCTTCACCTCTAACCATAGGATCTTTTAAAAGACTAGTTCTGAGGTCCTTTACTCTGAGTAGGTATTTATGGAATAAGCCATTATGTATTGACATTAGAATCAGTTAAACATAAATTTTTTTCTCTTTTTATGCACTACTTGACATCAAAAGCAAAAAGAGGTAAGTTGGCTATAAACCTGTAGGTGAACCTAATTTTTCTTAGTAGATTTGTTCCTGAGTAGCTTTGCTTCAATTAAATTTCTGTGAATCAAATACTTTTACATTAGGAAGATTGTCATTGGAAATTCTTATTCTTTTCTTTGAAAATGAATAAGCATCTTCTGTAAACTTAGATTTTCAAGATATCTAGTATTTAAACATTTTGCTTTTCCTTTAATCAAGTTATACTTACGGTTTAATTTGCTTGTGAAGACAAGGCATTTTCAAACACTTGGTTTAGTTTTGAGATAACTGAATTGTTTCTCCCACCAGAAATGTGGATTACATGTTATAAGTCTTTCCTATTTTCTTAAAAATGAAAAAAAAAGCCAAGAAACAACTGACATTGGTGAAAGTCTGTAATTTTCAGATCCATTGATTTACAGAAGAAGATGCCCTGAACCTCTCAGAATATTTTCTAGTGTGATTTTTTTTAATGATTAAAAAAAATGAAGAAAATATTAAACAAGAAGATCAAACACATTTCATTGAGTGGTGTCTCATATGTTTTTCTTGTTTGGGATCTATTTTTATAATTGATCTTTTTAGTGGATTCTTGATTGTAGTTTAACTTATTTCTCTTTTGTTTCTTTTTGATGATGCATCAATTCTGACATTTCAAAGGTACAGCTGGTCTTCATTAGATATGTGCTGTTATTGACTTTGCTTAACAAGAACAGACCATCATCGTACCACCTTGAGTTAACTCTGTGCCAGCTGGCCTTGCTCTTGAGAAGGTCATTTCTAAACAGAAGGTTATTTTTTGAAAGATTTTTAACTGGTGTAAGAATCTGGCAGCAGAATGTACTTTTACCTCTTGGTGCCACTGTATTTAATTACCCTCTCCCCATTTATCCTCCATGTCTTTCCTACCATAAGCTATTGATAACACACATGCTCATGGTTTAATTGTAAGTTGTTCAGAAATAGAAAGCTGACTGTACTGCAGGGCGTTTTTATATTTCTCTTTTGCAAGATTTGAAATAAAAATAGATTTTTGCATGAATATTACTTTGTTTTATCAGCTAGTCATCTGATATTCATCAGGACAGCAAATGGGAAGATGGGTGAAAGGTTTTGTCAAATCTATAACCACTGAAAAATCTAAAAATGCTCCCTCTCTACTTAGCAAGGCATGCTCTCATTCTACATCGCTGAAGACGACTTTCATGCTTGTCACTGAAGTGTGATGAACTATATGCAGTTGTCATTTATGTGAAGGAGGAACCAGATGCTTTTTAAGATTTGTCACCAGGTCTTATTTTTGCATTGTCTATATTGAAATTTTTTGATGTGTTTCAACAATTCCTTCTTTTTGTTCTCTGGAAATTTTTAACGAAGAATGATTGTTTCTATCAAGAGTATACGCTATAATGGACTTTGCTGTGTTAAAGACTGATGTAAATATGTCTGAAGTGTTTGGTGATATAAATTAGCAGATTTCACCCGATAAGTCAGAAATTACACTATCATCTGTGGGTACTTTTAGAATAACTGATGTTTTAACAGGGGATGTAATACGTTTGGTGAAAAGGGATGAGATAGCCAACTCTATGTGTTTGATTATAAAATGCTGACAGTGCTTCACAGCTCTCCATTTTTATTCATATCAGTGTACCATTAAATTCATCATTAGATTTTTGAAAATAGTTATTTTCCTAGCTACTGTTAATATTTATGTAAATGTTTCTATCTCATGCTCTTCTTTTATATATAATATTTCTTTCTCAGTTTTTCCTTATTATTTCTAAATTCTCTACTCTATATGTGTGTTTTTCAGTTTATTTGTTTAGGAATTCATAGGACTGTTTAAATGTTCAAGTTGTTACTACAAGGAGAATGTATTTTGATGCTTCTTTCCATTAACCTTTCTGTTAATTCACTAACATTATTAATCATTTTGTAGATTTAGTGAGGAATAATTTACTGGTTATGTTATTTGGCACATCTTAAATGATGGCAATTTAAAAATTATTTTCAAGACTTATATATTAAAGTCCTACAGTTACCAAAGAAGAATAATTGATCATCTGATAACACTAAATTAACCTTAAAATCTTTATCAGATAATATTTATCCATTCTTATTCCTTTTGTTAGAAAGATGTTGTTACAATGACAGGGATGTCTAAATTGTAAACTCTCCTTTCAAGTGAATTAATTAAACAGTGACATTGATGATACTAATAAATAAATCCAAGGATTTTTTTTAAGGGAGGTGGTTTGCACCACATAAATTCCCTAGCAAAGTGTTGTGGGGAATTGAAGAATTATAAGGCAGGGTCCTGCCTGCTCTCAAGGAGCTGCATAGTGTGGCTAGAGAGAATAGATATACTGCAAGGGAAGCAGGGGTCTAGAATTCTGTAAGAAATGCCAAAGGAAGCTGGGCGCAGTGGCTCACACCTGTAATCTCAGCACTTTGGGAGGCTGAGGCAGGCGGATTGCTTGAGGTCAGGAGTATGAGACTAGCCTGGGCAACACGGTGAAACTCTGTCTCTACTAAAAATACAAAAATTAGCTGGGCGTGGTAGCATGCACGTGTAATCCCAGCTACTCGGGAGGCTGAGGCATAAGAATCACTTGAACCTGGGAGGTGAAGATTGCAGTGAGCCGAGATGGAGATCACGCCACTGCACTCCAGCCTGGGTGACGGAGCAAGACTCTGTCTCAAAAAAAAAAAAGAAATGCCGAAGGAGATGAGAGAAGTGCTAAAGGAGTTTGCAGGAAGCAGACACCTCCTTTTGGGATGGCCAGAAATAATGACTGAAATTTGACTTTGCATAGTCTGATAGACAAGAGCATTTCCGATGAATATAATGATAGCTTGTTGAAATGAATTTCTCCTATGATCCATTTTGACCTTTCTTATTTCCTTGTTGTTAATAGCATTTACTTTGTTTCTCGAAGCTGAAAACCTTAAGGGCCTTCGACTCCTCCCTTTCCTTTGTCCATCATGTCTAATTGATGGACTCAGAGCTGCATGCTTTCACAAACATTCTCTCACCTGATCTTCACGTGAACCCTGCAAGATTGGTATTTAATGTTCTCACTTAAACGGATAGAAAAACTGAGGCTAAGAACAGTTAAGTCACTTCTTCAGTGTCCCTAGCTACTGGTTGTTGGAACTGGTATCTAAAAGAGAGACAGAGATCTTTCTGATGGACTCTAAATTTCATGCTGAAATGGAGAAGAGCTGAAGAGCACAGAGGAGAGAGAATAGAGAATAAAGAGGGCCAGGCGCGGTGGCTCATGCCTGTAATCCCAGCGCTTTGGGAGGCTGAGGCGAGCGGATCGTTTGAGTGCAGGAGTTCAAGAGCAGCCTTGGCAACATGGCAAAACCCTGTCTCTACAAAAGTTTTAAAAAATTAGCTGGGCGTAGTGGCACTGGGGAGGCTGAGGTGGGAGGATCGCCTGAACCCGGGAAGCAGAGGTTGCAATGAGCCGAGAGCACACTACTGCACTCCAGCCTGGGTGACAGAGTGAGACTCCATCTCAAAAAAAAAAGAAAGAAGAAAGCTGAGATGCCATAGGAAATGGCTGCAGAAGCATCATTGGCAAATGCAAGGAAATTATTGTGATGTACCCTCACTTAAGACTCCAGTGCATCTAAGTGTGTTAGTAACTGATTATGGAGAGCACCTTTGTGCTATTATCAGAATTCCTGGGTGTGGGAAACTTCTATAACTGTGCAACTTTTCTATCTCCACGTCAGTGCACAGTATATGGACATTTATATTTTCTACTAACACAACTGACATTCCACTCCCGTCAGTTTAGTTTCCCCCAGTACCACTGTTTTGACCACTTTCACACTTCTGTCTATAGTGCTTTTGCTAAGAAGGAATCTGCTAAATTCGAATGCAGATTCTCCTGCTTTTTTTTTTTTTTTTTTGATGGAGTTTCGCTCTTGTTGCCCAAGCTGGAGTGTGATGGCGCGATCTCGGCTCATTGCAACCTCCACCCCCCGGGTTCAAGCAATTCTTCTGCCTCAGCCTCCTGAGTAGCTGGGATTACAGGCGCACGCCACCACGCCCGGATAATTTTTTGTATTTTTAGTAGAAATGGGGTTTCACCATGTTGGCCAGGCTGGTCTCGAACTCCTGACCTCAGGTGGTCCACCCACCTTGGCCTCCTAAAGTGCTGGGATTACAGGCATGAGCAACCACACCCAGCCCCAGATTATCCTTCTTAATTTGTGCTTCTTGCCTTTCGTATATATCTTTTTCATTTTGAGTTTCCTTGAATTAAAACTTTTTAATTCAACTCTTGGATTGCTTAATTTTGAATAATTTGAGAGAATTTGGGCTGTTCTTGGTTTATTTAGACTGAAGAAGTACTCTCGGCAGAGTAAGAAGGAGCACTAACTGCTTCTACTTTGGAGCAAGTATCAAAGGCTGTGTTAGTCTGCTGGGGCTTCCATCATGAATGACCACAGACTGGATGCCTTAAACAACAGAAGTTAATTTTCTCACAGTTCTGGAGGCCCGAAGTTCAAAATCAAGGTGTCCGCAGGTCTGTTTTCTCCTGAGGTCTCCGTCCTTGGATTGCAGAAGGCCACCTTCTCACTGTCCTCGCATCTCTGTGCACTGCATCCCTGGTGTCTCTCTGCATGTATTAATCCTCTCTTCTTTACAAGGACACCAATCAGATTGGATTAGGGCCAACTCTAACAGTGTCACTTTAATTTAGTCACCTCTTGTAAAGGTCCTGTCTTCAAATACAGTTGCATTCTAAGGTTCTGAGAGTTAGGGCTTCAATATATGAATTTAGGGGAACACAATTCAGTCTATAACATCATGGGCCATTCCACTGAAAGGGCGTGGGTGGACAGTCAGAAACCTGGGCACAAGTTCTCACTCTGCCACTCTCTCCATGGGCCCTAAGAAAATCACTTAACCCTTCTGATCCTCAGTGTTCTAATCTGTAAAATGGGCATTATGACTACCAATCTCAGTTGAGTTTGGTTTGTTTGTTTGTTTTTGAGACAGAGTCTCGCTCTGTTGCTCAGGCTGGAGTGCAGTGGTGTGATCTCAGCTCACTGCAACCTCCACCTCCCGGGTTCAAGAGTTCTCATGGCTCAGCTTCCCAAGTAGCTGGGACTACAGGCACGCCCTACCATGCCCAGCTAATTTTTGTTATTTTAGTAGAGATGAGTTTTCACCATGTTGGCCAGGCTGGTCTTGAACTCCTGAACTGAAGCTATCTGCCAGCCTCAGTTTCCCAAAGTGCTGGGATTACAGGCATGAGCCACTGCGCCTGGACTCACTTGAGTTTTCTAGGCACTAAAAAGCTTTTGTTCATTATAAAAGCCATACAGAGGCCAGGCACAGTGGCTCACGCCTGTAATCCCAGCACTTTGGGAGGCTGAGGCAGGCGGATCACGAGGTCAAGAGATGGAGACCATCCTGGCCAACATGGCGAAACCCCGTCTCTACTAAAAATACAAAAGTTAACTGGGCGTGGTGGTGCATGCCTGTAGTCCCAGCTACTTAGGAGGCTGAGGCAGGAGAATCACTTGAACCCGGGAGGCGGAGGTTGCAGTGAGCCGAGATTGCACCACTGCACTCCAGCCTGGCGACAGAGTGAGACTCCACCTCAGAAAAAAAAGTAATACAGAAAGTGACCTTGCATAAACTTAGTTTCTCATTTCTAAACAAAAATAAAATGTATCTCATAGAGTTTTTACAAGGATTCAAGAGCTTTTGCATGCAAATTGTCTGCAAATATATATATATAGCACTTTTTATAAGCATTACATATTACCATTATTTCTCATCCTTCTTTCTTCTACATTTCTTCTGCCCGCTCTTCCTTTTCTGTCATTGCCTAAAATCCCTATTAATGAATAGTTTGAAAGAACATGGCCAGGTTTGCAGAAAGAAGAAAGAGAGATATCCTTTTCCCTCCCATAAGGACTAAAAGAGGATGTCTCTGTGCTTTGATCATTAACCATGGCGTGTTGATTTTAGGACAATCTATAACTCTCTGTCAATTTCCTACTTAACAGCTTTCAAAATTAAATGTTCTTGCTTTTCTACTAACTGTTAATCATCTGTTCTTATTGAAAGGTCTTTAATGAATATTGACTGTTTACTCCAAGTTTATAAGATTTTTGGTCTAAAGTGGTTGTCTTAGTCCATTTTCTGTTCCTTATAACAGAATACTTGAAACTGGGTGATTTATAAAGAAAAGGAATTTGTCATTTGCAGTTATGGAGGCTGAGAAGTCCAAGGTCACGGTGAGAGCCTTCTTGCTGGTGGGGACTCTGCAGAGTCCCAAAGTGGTGCAGGGCATCACATGGCAAGGGGGCTGTACATGCTAAGTCAGGTCTGTCTTCCTCTTATAGAGCCACCAATTTCACTCCCATCATAACCCATGAATCCATTAACCCATGAATCCATTAATCCATGAATGGATTTATCCATTCATGAGAGCAGACCTTTATGATCCAATCACCTCTTAAAAAGTTCCACCTTTCAATACTGCCACATTGGAGATTAAGTATCAACATGAATTTTGGAGGGGATATTCAAACCATAGCAGTGGTATCTATTTAAATCTATTTACTTTCAAATAGATAATAGCAGCATGTTCTATGATAGCAATTGTTCAAAGAAATTTATTAAACCTTTTTTATAGACAGTCTTGGGAAGAATACAGCAAGTTAGCAAAGATAATAACTAAGAGTCTCATCAAGAGGCGTGTGTGTTCCTTATATCATCAACTTCCATTTCTCCTGCCTATTTTTAAGGATATGAGTATGTGGGCTGGGCGCAATGGCTCACACCTGTAATCCCAGCACTTTGGGAGGCCGAGGCAGGCAGATCACGAGGTCAGGGGATCGAGACCATCCTGGCTAACACGGTGAAACCCCGTCTCTACTAAAAATACAAAAAATTAGCCAGGCGTGGTGGTGGGTGCCTGTAGTCCCAGCTACTCGGGAGGCTGAGGCAGGAGAATGGTGTGAACCCAGGAGGGGGAGCTTGCCGAGATCACACCACTGCACTCCAGCCTGTGCGACAGAGTGAGACTCCATCTCAAAAAAAAAAAAGAATATATGAGTTGCCCATTTTCAAAACAGGAAAGGAAAAGAAGAAAGCACACGTCCCTTTTTTTCTCACTTGTTGAAGGAAAGAGACTGAAAAATCATGAACTTATGAAAGATAGAGGAAGAGGTGCCTAAGGAGAAAGAGAATATTTAAGTAAGAGGATTAATACCTATATATGTCAGAAGAAGAAATGTAGAAATATAGTTTTTACACGGTGGAAAAGAAAAGTTTCTCTAAACTGTAGACCAACAAACTTTGCCTCATCCTCGGCAAATTTCTGGAAATGGATGAATTACAAATGCTCTCTATAGAATGGGGATTGTTAAAAGCCAGTGTGAGTTCATCAAGAATGACTTGAACTGGACTACCCACATTCTCTATCTCATAAGACCAGGGAAATGGTAAAATAATGTGTCTGAACTTGGGCAAGCAATTAACCAGGCATTTTTTTTTAATATTCTTGAGACAAATAGAGAAATCAATTCTAGAGGATAATATAATTGTGTAGACTCATAACTAATTGAATGATATGTGCAAAGGGTCCAAATTCATTGACTTATATTTATGAAATATGGTCTTCACTTAGCCTGACCTTATTATTAATTGCTAATCTTACATAAAGCTATCGAGGTCATGATTCTCATATTTTCTGATTTAAGAGAGAAATAAATGCTAAATGACGGAATAGGATCCAAAATATTCATCAGATAGGAAGAGGCGAAATATTTCACATGTATTTTAAACATAAAGTTTAAATGGATATGAAATATTGTGCTGGAATTCCAAGCACTGTAAGATGGAGGAAAAATGACTTTATAGCACTACCTGTAAACAAAGCTCAATGGAAATAGCAGTGTGATGTGGCTGCCCAAAAATGCCATGAGGTTTCTGCTGTTTTAATAGGACTGGGATGTCTCAGATAAGACAAGACAGTGCCACTGTACTCTTCACTGGGCATATCTTACCACACATGATTTCCTTTCTTATCACCTCATTTTTAGAAGGATGTGCACAAACCGGAACAAGGTCAGAGAGCAAGGAGACGAGTGAGGGAAATTGACATCACGTCTTAAAAGGAAGAAATGGGGTTGGGCCTGATGGCTCACACCTATAATTCCAGCACTTTCAGAGGCCGGGGCGGGTAGATCATTTGAGGCCAGGAGTTCGAGACCAGCCTGGCCATGGTGAAACCCCATCTCCACCAAACATACAAAAATTAGCCAGGCATGGCAGCACATGCCTGTAATCCCAGCTACTCTGGAGGCTGTAACACAAGAGTCACTTAAACCTGGGAAGTGGAGTTTGCAATGAGCCAAGATCACGTCACTTCACTCCAGCCTGGGCAACAGAGCGAGACTCCATCTCAAAAAAAAAAAAAAAAGAAAGAAAGATAAGAAAAAAAGGAAGAACTTGGATACTTGGCCTGAGGAGAACTCAGAGGACAGAGATAGTTTTCATGGGAACACGTGGAGCATCCGGAGGTTGTTTATGGTCATGAGGGAAAGAGATGTGGTGTGGAAAATACGATCTTGTGAAAAAGTAGGGATGCATTAGTTCTCAAGTCAGGAAAATGAGGAGGTGGAGTCAAGCGATGCTACAGGAGACTGTTTGCCACAAAGAGTTGCTGCTGTGCCTGCCCCAGAGCACTTGGGCCCAAAGAAGCCACCTCTGCAGCCTCACTACTCATCGTGGCTGGGTTTGGTCTCCACAGATGGGCTTTCACTCACATGGTGCTCACCAGTGCCCACTGCTGCCATCTGGGCCAGGTGTGGAGCCAAAACATAGAAGTGTTCCTTGTCTCCTACATGAGCTGTTCCTTCCCATCCCAAACAGCCACCAGTGGGCTCCTGGACTCCCTAAGGCATTGACTTTTAGAAAATTGGGTAGTTTGGCTGGGCGCAGTGGCTCACGCCTATAATCCCAGCACTTTGGGAGGCCGAGGCAGGCAGATCACCTGAGGTCAGGAGTTTGAGACCAGCCTGGCCAACATGGCGATACCCCATCTCTACTAAAATTATAAAAATTGGCCGGGCATGGTGGTGCATGCCTGTAATCCCAGCTACTTGGGAGGCTGAGGCAGGAGAATTGCTTGAACCCGCGAGGCGGAGGTTGCAGTGAGCTGAGATCATGCCATTGCACTCCAGCCTGGGCAACAAGAGCGAAACTCTGTCTCAAAGAAAAAAAAAGAAAATTGGTTAGTTTTCTAAATTGCATTGAAAATTTTATAAATAATAGAAGCCCGAGAGAAAGCCACACAGCAAAACTTTCTCTCTCTGCCAATGAAATGTATTATTTTCAGCCACCTCTTTTTAAAAACAATATTATCTTCATTCCTGTACCCTTCATTTTGCTTTGTATTTTTGAGAGCGCTGGTTGCCTTAAAATCAGTATCTCAAATCTCTGGCAAAGTTCCTTCTGTTTCTTTGACTCTATGACCCTGATATTTTCTAGAGGTAGCTGGTGTCAATTTGAGAAGCATCCAGAGGAGTGAATAGAAAAGAGGCCTTAGCATTAAAAAGACTAAATTTAAATCCTTGTTCCGCCACTTCCTAACTGTGTGACCTTGGGCAAGTTAATACACATGCTGAGCTTGGATTAATCAGTGGAGGCTTGTAGGACACCTACTGTGATGGCAAATTCTGTGTTTGTTTCTAGCAGGAGAGATTTTAAAAAGAAGTTAAAGAAAAAAATATGTGAGACTATGATATTCTCCCATATTATCAAAAACACTTATTTTCCTCAATGTAGGAATAGTGCAAGCCTGTCGACCCAGCTATTTTAGAGGCTGAAGTGGGAGCATCACATGAGCCCAGGAGTTCAAGACCAGGCTTTAAGAGACCC
Organism: Homo sapiens; assembly: GCF_000001405.40. NCBI lineage: Eukaryota > Metazoa > Chordata > Mammalia > Primates > Hominidae > Homo > Homo sapiens. The sequence goes on from NC_000012.12 coordinate 32,363,029, forward strand.
TGTCTCTTAAAACAGATAACAAATGTAAAGTTTATAGGAAAGATTACATCATGTTGATTCAGCAAATATTTTCCTCTCTTATTTCTCCCTTTCTTTTCTATCTTCCCTTCTACGTGAGGCCCTTGTTTATGGAGGAATGTCATACAAGGGTACTCTTCTTGTGCATATCGAGACAGACCTATAGATGCTTTGAGCTATAATATTCCATATTCATCCCTGCCCTGGAGGCATTAGTAATCTCTTGAGCCAGGCACAGTGTACACACTTGTAGTCCCATCTACTCAGGAGATTGAGGCAGGAGGATTACTTGAACTCACTGCATTACAGCCTGAGCGACATAGCAAGACCTGGCCTCTAAAAAAAATACATAAATAATCTCTTGAGTATGCTATGACATTTCCCAAGCCTGTGGCCTTATCATATAAACGTACAGCATTTTCTAATTCCATTCTGATCATTTCAAATAAACACTTTAATTTTATGATAAAATGTCTTATTACTGTTACTAAAGACCATAAAAAGTTTGTAGTTACAAAGAAGTTATTTGACTAACTCATTATGTTAGATGTCAGCCTAGATATCACAACCTCCAGGAAGCACTCCCTAACCACTTAGATTTAGTTGTGTTTGGTTAGTTAGATTTAGTTATGTTTGATTAGTTAGATTCAGTCTAATTTAATTTAATTAACTTCCGCTGTGAGGTCCTGTAACACCCTACACTTTCCCTATCATAGGAGGCAATACAGTGATACTTCTGCAAGTTCAGCTCAGCCCTTGGACCATACAATCCTGGATTCAAATTGCACCTCTACCTCCTAGTGGAGTTTGTCAAGTTACTTAACCTAAGTTCCCCTTTCCTTATAGATGAAGTGAGATTAATAAAACAGGGTTATAGAAGAGCATGTATATTAAGTGCCTATACAGTGCCTGAGACATCGTAAACAATAAATAAGTACTAGATGCTGTCATCATCACCATCACCATCACCATCACCACCATCATCACCATCACCATCACACTTCAATGTAGTTGCTTATTAAATATGCTTATCTTCCTTGATAAAACAGAGACCACATTTTCTCTGTTCACCTTTTTCCCCCTGCTGCCTAACACAGTTTCTGACACAAAATAGGAGTTTAGTAACTTGACTGTTGAATGGTTTAGACAAACCCTGGTGGCCAAACAACAGCAATGGCTTTGTGGGTTCTACAATGCCTGCTCCTTCATGCACATAGTTGTCATCTTTTATTCCCCCCAAAGCAACGAGATGTGGTCTAGTTCCTTCAAGGGTGAGCCTAGCAGAATAGATCCTAGACGGAGCAGGGGAGATCACTCAGAGCCTGCAGCATCTCAGAGCTACAAGGGACTTCCTCAGCCTCCCAACCTACCTCCTTCATTTTACAAAGTACATCCTAAGACACATCCGTGGCTCAGCCAGGCTACAATTGACACAACTGGAGGGCTGTAGACCCGAGAAGAGGGATTTAGAAGACAACTGAGTCAGAGCAATGTAGCTACATTTTAGTTTAATTTTTTAAGTCCATCACCATTTTATCTATGAAATTTGTTTTTTATTCTTTAAGGATAACACGTAGCTAAGTGCTTATAAATAATAAATGAAAAATAATCATCATTAGCTTGGCTAGGAGCAGTGGCTCACACCTACAATCCCCACATCTTGGGAGGCCGAGGCAGGAAGACTGCTTGAGGCCCGGAGTTCAAGACCAGCCTAGGCAAAATAGCTAGAACCTGTCTCTACAAAAATTTAAAAAATTAGCAGGGTGTGGTGGTGTGTGCCTGTGGTCCCAGCTACTCAAGAGGCTGAGGCAGGAGGATCACTTGAGCCCAGGCGTTGGATGCTGAAGTGAGCTATGATAGCCACCTAGGCAACAGCATGACATCCTGTCTCAAAAACTAAATAAATAGGCCGAGTGCAGTGGCTCACACCTGTAATCCCAGCACTCTGAGAGGCCAAGGTGGGTGGATCACCCGAAGTCAGGAGTTAGAGACCAGCCTGGTTAACACGGTGAAACCCCGTCTCTACTAAAAATACAAACAATTAGCTGGGCGTGGTGGCGCACGCTTGTAATCCCAACTACTCGGGAGGCTGAGGCAGGAGAATTGCATGAACCCAGGAGGCGGAGATTGCAGTGAGCCGAGATTGTGCCATTGCACTCCAGCCTGGGCAACAAGAGCAAAACTCTTGTCTCAAAAATAAAATAAAATAAAAAATAAATATTAGCCAGAGATGATGTTACTTCTAATGAAGGAAAAAGTGATATTCACTACAAATAAGAAGAATGTCTACCACCTCTCTAGCATTTCATTAAGGGAGTACACTGTGGTTCTGATCACCTGCTGTCTGAATTTTACCATAAATTATATTTTGAATGAATAATAATCTGTGACTGTATTGGCAAAACAAAGTCAAATATATGAGATATTTTTAAAAGATGTAAGCCATTTTAATACTCTAGTTACTCTAATTCTAAGGATCGCTATTCCACAGAGGCCACTACTCTGCTTTAGAAGAGTTTCATTATACCTCCCTGGCAATGTAAGACATAAGGAATCCAGAGTGGTTTTTACATCCATTGCATTTACCCAAATACACCATCGGAGGGCAGCACACACCTGGTTGACTTAACTGCCTGTCTGGTGGCCTTATCAAAATAGTTGTCAAATTAGTCTAAGACATTCCTAAATTACCACTCAGATAGGCAGGAAAGCTGTTGGAGAAGACAAAAGGAGCAAAGATTTTTAAAAGACAAAAGAATGCATTCCTTAAGACTCTGAGTTTCTACAAAAGGGAATCTGGAGCTAATCAATGCTGCAAAATGGGAAAACGGAGTTAAAAAAGGAATTTCCTCAATCTGAGAAAACAGATTTGTTATATTTGAAAGATTTTTACTGAGTATGATCATCCGAACACCAGCTACTAAACAAAAATCAGATCTCCTTGTTCCTATTAAGATGCGCTAATTAATAAGATGGCAACAAAGACCACCATATAAAAGGGTTCCTTCAGTAATGTTTTCTTGAGTGAACAAAAATCAAGCCTGCCTTATATTGTATTCTACTTTGCATCACAAACAGTTTTAGTGTATTTCTGGAAAAGCATCAGCAGTTTTTTCGAATTTTAAATTCTGGAGTTATGTAACTATATAGGCAGGCTTTTTTATAACAGAATATAACAGTGATACTTAAATAGAAGACTTCAAATGTAAATATCAGTAGAGCCTCGTTAAGGCTATAAATCCAGACTTTGTGATAATGTGGATTAAATATTATTTACATAACATATAAGGAGGCCGGGTGCAGTGGCTCACGCCTGTAATCCCAGCACTTTGGGAGGCCGAGGCAGGTGGATCACCTGAGGTCAGGAGTTCAAGACCAGCCTGACCAATATGGTGAAACCCTGTCTCTACTAAAAATACAAAATTAGCCGGGTGTGGTGGCACATGCCTGTAATCCCTGCTCCTTGGGAGGCTGAGGCAGGAGAATCACCTCGGGAGGCTGAGGCAGGAGAATCGCCTGAACCCAGGAGGCGGAGGTTGCAGTGAGCTGAGATTGCACCATTGCACTCCAGCCTGGGCAACAAGAGCAAAACTCTGTCTCAAATAAACAAACAAACAAACACATATAAGGAAAGGGATTTGCTAAGCAAATACAGTCTAAGCAGTTGGCAAGAGGAAATGCTTCAATTATTTAAGAATAATTTTTAAGTTTAATTCCAATTTTAACTTGTTTGCAAAAATCTTTTTGGAGAAATATGACGTATATGCATTTCTAACCAGCTTCTTGCATGATTCTAATATAGTCACCTAGTACCAGTAAACAGACTGCTCTTTGATTTTTTTTTAGAACACCAGGCACTACTTTCTTGGAGTAGATGATTAACCCAGCTAAAGCTTGATTTTTACTAGCTAGCACTTTATTAACCTAGTGTGTTATATTGTGACTTTAAAATGGTAAAAACAATTACAAAGTGGAGTTCTCATTCAGGTTAGCTTTCTAGTCCAAGTCACTAACAATTTACTATGTAATAGACATTCTAAGATTTCTGCCAACAATTCTATTGTCAATATATAAAATCAATTTTCAGAAAACTGTAAAGATTATTTCCTTGTTTAATTAAGATTCTACTAATCATAGAAAAGATTATATTGCACACTTTTCTCAAGTTACCTATGGGACTGACAATATGTCCATGTGTCCTGATAGTAAAGTCAGTTATCTGAATGCGTTCCATTTTGGAATAAGAGATCTAAGTGCTAAGCAAGTAACCACCACCACATTCAGGTTTAGAATTGGAAGATCTTTCATTATATTAATAGACCCTTTATTTTTAGATATAACAAAATACCAAAGACAAATGGCCACATATATCCTAATGTACTTGAGAAATCTCGCTACTAATGCTGTGTCACTAATTTTTTAATACTGTATTTAAGAAAAAAAAAAAAGCCTGTCTTTTCTATTGGCATCATTCAAGAAGAAAAAAAAAAAGCTGAATCAGGATATTTCTGTGTGAATGCACATTCCTCACTAAATCTCTCAGGCAGCTGCTTTAGTCACTGTTACTAACACCTTGCTCTGTCATCTCTTTGTACACATGTCTAATTTATCAGTTTCTTGTAGATTGTCAGCAGCCTGCTGCCTCCGTACCGCCACAGTGCTCACAACTAGCCGGGAGGCAAGACTGCCCAACTGTCAGGTAAATTCAGATGTCCTTTCCCTTCCACCCAGCTGCATGTCAGATCCATAGACCCCAGCTCCCCTTTCCGACACCTGAACTGCCTACGCATCATTGTATTTTGCTGTATTTTATTTCAAGTGTGGGCTACATAGACACACATTGGACACCTGCAGTCCCTGCGTTCCCAGTAGGAATACAAGAGAGCTGGGGTTTATTTTGCTGGCTGCCAGCTGGTAGACTCTACAGGCTGCCTTCAGCCCCTTTGTCTGTGTAAATACTTGGATTAGTCCACTGTTTCATTCCTTTCCAAAAAATAAAAGCTGGAATTGTTATGATGTTTGTCCTACTTTTTATTTTCTTTTGTCTTTAAAATATATTTATTTTCCTGGGGAATCTGAGGGATACCAATATACTAATTGACCTGATTTGATTCCTGTACTTTATATGTATTAAAACATCACTATATACTCCATGAATATGTACAATTATTATTTGTCAATTTAAAAAAATAAAATCCCCGCTACTCAGGAGGCTGAGGTAGGAGGATCAATCGCTTGAGCCTGGGAGTTCAAGGCTGCAGCGAGCTATGATACCACTGCACACCTGCCTGGTGAGTAAGAACCTGTTGCTAAAAAACAAAACAAAACAAAAAACACAGTAAAATAAAACTTAAAGTGTTTAAATAGGCCAGGCATGATGGCTCACACCCGTAATCCCAGCACTGTGGAAGGCCGAGGCAGAGGGATTACCTGAGGTCAGGAGTTTGAGACCAGCCTGGGCAACATGGTGAAACCCCGTCTCTACTAAAAATACAAAAATTAGCTGGGTGTGGTGGCACATGCCTCTAATCCCACCTACTCAGGAGGCTGAGGCAGGAGAATCACTTGAACCCAGGAGGTGGAGGTTGCAGTGAGCTGAGCTGGTGCCACTGCACTCCAGCCTAGGTGACAGAGAGAGATTCCATCTAAAAAAAAATAAAAAATTAAAAAATATATATCTCAGGCCAACAAACAGGAAGAATATAAAGAATTAGATATAAAGGCTGGGTGCAGTGGCTCATGCTGGTAATCTCAGCACTTTGGGAGGCTGAGGCAGGAGGATTGCTTGAGTCCATGAATTTGTGGTTACAGTGAGTAAAATCACATCACTGCACTCCAGCCTGGGTAACAGAGCAAGACCCTGTCTCTAGATAAATAGATAGATAGACAGACAGATAGAACAGCTGTATAAAAGTGTTTCTGTGTTTCTGTTCTCTGTCCACTCAGTAGCCTTGGTAAAACTGAATTTGAAAGGTGGAGAAAAACATTGTAGTTAGCATTCAAAAGATAATATTTGCTGTGACAGTGACCTTTATGTGAGATTACTTGAAAAATTGTTAAAACAGGTTTGCACAGTCCTGAACACTGAACTGGAGAGTTTGCTGACAATTCCGATTCCAAAGGAAAGCTTTCCAAATCAGTCATGAATTGCCCTCCATCCTGGTGAACCTCCACACAGCGTCTCAGCGTTCCATCAGGACCTCACCTCCATCCTGGAATGCTTCATCTCCAGCCACCTGGCCTCTGATGGTGCCAGACCTCAGTAGTCCGGTTGTGGTTTTCATCATCTGCTCAGTGTTCTCTCCTTATCACAGCTGTTGCCCTTCTACCAGGGGAAGGCTTCTTTTGAGCAGGGGCAGGCCCAAACACTTTCCATGTGTGTCTGAGGAGTAGATGTCAGTAGCAAGCTACATGTGGTCAGGGGTCAGAGCCAGGGGACCTGGGGTGCCACAAGTGTGGAAACACAGTGGCAGCTGAAGCCCAAGTGTCACATGGTCTCAGAGGCGGTTGTGCAGCCAGCTGTATCAGTGGAACATTGAGTTAGCACAGAAAGGTACATTATTGGCCAGGTGTGGTGGCTTACGCCTGTAATCCCAGCAGTTTGGGAGGCTGAGGCGGGAGGATGGCTTGAACCCAGAACTTCAAGACCAGCCTGGGGAACACAGGGAGACCTCCACCCCCGACCTCTACCAAATTTTTTTTTTTTTAAATTAGCCAGGTATAATGGCACATGGCTGTAGTCCCAGCTATTTGGGAAGCTGAGGTTGGAGGGTCACTTGAGCTCGGGAGGTCAAGACTGCAGCAAGCTGTGATTGCATCACTGCACTCCAGCCTGGGTAACAGAGTGAGACCCTGTCTCAAAAAACAAATAAATAAATAAAAAGAAAAATACATTATAAAATAGGTTGCTAGCCAGCAGTTTCCAATTGGTGTGTGTTAGTTGATTGTTCCCACCACCTTCAGCAACAGGGCTTTAAGAAAGGTTTTTCGCTAATGCCATTTTACAACAGCACTAATTTCGGTTAGAAATAATAATGATAGGTCAGGCGTGGTGGCGCAGGCCTGTAATCCCAGCACTTTGGGAGGCCAAGGCCGGTGGATCACAAGGTCAAGAGATCGAGACCACCTTGGCCAACATGGTGAAACCCCGTCTCTACTAAAAATACAAAAATTAGCTGGGCATGGTGATGTGCGCCTGTAATCTCAGGTTCTCGGGAGGCTGAGGCAGGAGAATCACTTGAACCTGGGAGGCGGAGGTTGCAGTGAGCTGAGATCACGCCACTGCATTACAGCCTGGCGACAGAGCAAAAAAGAAAAAAAAAAAAGAAATAATGTAATTATAGATTTATCTCAATTATATAAGTAACAATATAAATATTCAAACTCGTCTCAGTGGGATTCTGAATTTGTAGCGGTTAAGAACAGGGCTCTTCACCTACAGTCCATTCTCCACCAAGCACCCCCAGCCCTTACCCCAAGGCCTGGGTCAGTGCTGGGCACATGACAGCTGTGCACTAAATATTGATTATACCTGAGAGAGTGAATGAGCTCTGGAATCAGATTGCTTGGGTTGAATTCCCACTTCTAATACCCACTGGTTGTTTAACTTTGGAAAATTTCTTTTGCTGGCTAAGATTCCATTTCTTCACTTGTAAAGTTCAGATGACAATAGATACTGAGGGAATTCAGCGAGGCACGCTCCTGGCTTGGAGTGTCTGCTCAGTATCTGTTATCAATACTTTTTTAGTATCTTACCATTCCTCAAGACAAAGATCTGCAATCTCTTAACCTCTCTAATTTGCTGAAGAAAGCGTGGAGCGGGCTGCTGTTTTGTTTGCTTCAGAGATTGGGTCTGGCTATGTTGCCCAAACTGGACTTGAACCCTGGGCTCGAGCAACCTTCCTGCCTCAGAAGACTACTGCTTGAAGTGTTTCCATTAAGTAGGAAATGGAAAGGCTGGCAGGAGATTTTTTTAACTTTTTTTTTTCCACCTTGCTTGTTTTTTGAGAACCAGTTTGACTAAACAATTATGTAGTCTAGTTCCATCTGTTCTGAGATTAATAAATTTAGGTTGCTTACTACTACCACAGGGATGATTTACTTTAAAGAAAAGCAATTTAATGAATTACAAACATTTCCAGCTTCTCAAATGTTTCCAGTTTCTACCCACATGAATACAGCCTGGTCTAGAGCCCAATTCTACTACTGTTCCCCATCGTGGTCTACGTAAAGAAATGATTAAATGCATATAGATCTGAAAAGACTCTTTTCCAAAATTGCTGGGATGATGACTGACTCTTTTCCCACCCATACACACTGCCAAATGGGTCAATGTTAATACCTTCATTGCCCTTTTTACTCCTTCTTGGCAGAAAAGTTAACACATAGCCAACATTCGAATTCTTAGTATAAACCAGACAAGGGTTCATTTCTTTACACATATTAAACATTACAGCCTTCCATAAGGGATAAGCACAGTTATTACACCCATTTTTGTTGTTGTTTTTGTTTGTTTGGTTTAGTTTTTTGGCGTTTTTTTGTTTGTTTTTGTTTTTGTTTGAGACAGAGTCTCCCTCTGTTGCCCAGGCTGGAGTGCAGTGGCGTGATCTTGGCTCACTGGCACCTCCACCTCCTGGGTTCAAGCAATTCTTCTGCCTCAGCCACCCGAGTAGCTGGGATTACAGGTGTGTGCCACCACACCCAGCTAATTTTTGTATTTTTAGTAGAGACAGGGTTTCACCATGTTGGCCAGGCTGCCCTTGAACTCCTGACCTCCAGTGATCTGCCTGCCTCAGCCTCCTAAAGTACTGGGGTTACAAGCATGAGCCACCACACCTGGTCTTACACCCATTTTTATGTGACGAAATTGAGGTTTGGGAAGGTAAAATGACTTGTTCAAGGTCACATATCCTGAACACAACTGAGCCTAGTGACTCCTACCTACCACCACAGGTGGCTGCACTGCAGAGGAGAAATCTATTTCAGTTACACTGTGAGGAGCAAAGTCAGAGTATGTAAATCACCCACCATGATTCCTTTTCCCTCAAACTGAAGAGGAATGTTTGTTTAATGAGAAACAGAAGATGTGCTAAGAATGTTGAGTTATTTCACATCAGGTGTTCTGTTTCTCATTTTGAAAAATGATTTTGAGTGCTGGGCCCAGTGGCTCATGCCTGTAATCCCAGCACTTTGGGAGGCCAAGGTGGGCAGATCACCTGAGGTCAGGAGTTCGAGACCAGCCTGGCCAATATGGTGAAACGGCATCTCTACTAAAAATACAGAAATTAGCCAGGCATGGTGGCAGGCACCTGTAATCCCAGCTCCTCAGGAGGCTGAGGCAGGAGAATCACTTGGAACAGGGAGGCGGAGGTTGCAGTGAACCAAGATCACGCTTGGACAACTCCAGCTTGGGCAACAGAGTGAGACTCCATCTTAAAAAAAAAATTATTTTGTACTTCCCTCGGTTTATACATATATTCAAACAGCTTTTAAGGTGAATGATTTTTTAATAAAAGAGCATTTTCTCACCTTTAACAATGTAGAACTTTTCAGCCGGACATGGTGACTCACCTCTGTAGTCCCAGCACTTTGGAAGGCTGAGGTGGGAAGATTGCTTGAGCCCAGGATTTCTAGATCAGCCTAGGCAACTTGGTGAAACCCTGTCCTTTAAAACAAAATACAAGAATTAGGCATGGTGGCCTGCATCTGTAGTCCCAGCTACTCAGGAGGCTGCGGTGGGAGGATCGTTTCAGCCTAGGAGTTCAAGGCAGCAGTGAGCCGAGATTGTGCCACTGCGCTCCGGCCTGGGTGGCAGAAGAGGACCCTGTCTCCAAAAACAGAAAAAAAGTAGAACTTTTCCATGTATACTTTTTACAGGCTAATTCCATTGTAGAGCTAAATTATCAAAATTGTTTATAGATAATAGGTATTATAATATGAAAGGAATGCCCAAGGTATATAGCCTTGGATATAATATTGAAATATATAGAGTTGTTTGGTATTTAGCACTTCCCTTCTATCAAGTAGTTTTCTACTTGGGAAAAAAAAAGAAACTTCCTGAAGATGTATCCAATTTTATATCTTAGTAACAGCTTCCTAAACTTGCCATTTACAACATGATCTACCTATGTAAAGTAAAATCAATGGTAAATGTTGAATAACAAGTGGACTCTTGAAAATATTTAGCAATCACAACTGAAACTGAATTCATTCTATGCCTTAAATGATTATAATTTATCAAATATTTATATCCAAGAAATAGTATCTTAACCTGTAAGCCAAGAATGTGTGTCTTACAGGTTAATTTACACATAATATACACCATGTGATTGCAGCATTTTATGCAAATTAAAAATATTAATACTATAGATAATAACTTTATGTAAGAAATCTATCTAAAGGAATGAAAAAAATTTAAATCATCACGAATGATGTAATGTCAAGGTGTTAGGCAAAGTGAGTTGTAACCCATATTTAAGCTATAGCTACACACTTCAGCTGGTCAGGAAGAAATATTTGTCTTCCTTTATCAAAAAGAGTATTGGGGCCAGGTGCAGCGGCTCACGCCTGTAATCCCAACACTTTGGGAGGCTGAGGCGGGTGGATCACAAGGTCAGGAGTTCGAGACTGTCATGGCTAACACAGTGAAACCCCGTCTCTACTAAAAAAAAAAAAATACAAAAAATTAGCCAGGTGTTGTGGCATGTGCCTGTAGTCCCAGCTACTCGGGAGGCTGAGACAGGAGAATCACTTGAACCCGGAAGGTGGAGGTGGCAGTGAGCCAAGATCGCGCCAGTGCACTCCAGGCTGGGCGACAGTTTGAGACTGTCTCAAAAAAAAAAAAAAGTATTGGATTACACAAGGTCTTCAAAAACATATCTTTCTTGGGTGGACACAGTGGCTCATGCCTGTAATCCTTGCGCTTTGGGAAGCAGAGGCAGGCTGATCACTTGAGGTCAGGAGTTCGAGACCAGCCTGGGCAACATGGTGAAACTCTGTCTCTACTAAAAATACAAAAATTAGCCAGGTGTGGTGGCGCAGGCCTGTAATCCCAGCTACTCAGGAGGCTGAGGCACTAGAATTGCTTGAACCTGGGAGGCAGAGGTTGCAGTGAGCTGGGATCGTGCCACTGCACTCCAGCCTGGGCGACAAAGTGAGATTCTGCTCAAAAAAAAAAAGAAAAGAAAAGAAAAGAAAAAAAAGCCATATCTTTCTTGTGTAATGTGACGATTCTGCATTACTTGCCATAAATCACATTGCATAATATGTTTAGTTCCCTAAAAAGAAATTAGTTCTGGTGCTGACTTCCACAGCACGTATAGTAAAATTGGAGTTTTTTTTACTATATGTGCTGTGGAAGTCAGCAGTCTAAGTCATGCATATTTGCAGAAAAACTGTTAGGTCGATGGGAAAGTCTGGCCTATAACCTGCTGTTTACCAGGCCGTCAAACTCTGTTTGGAGGGTCAAGTGTGAATCTTGCCATACATTATTTTCTGTTTTAAATATTTTCTTTTCTTTCTTCTTTTTTTTTTTTTTTTGAGACGGAGTTTTGCTCTTGTTACCCAGGCTGGAGTGCAATGGCGTGATCTCAGCTCACCGCAACGTCTGCCTCCCGGGTTCAAGCGATTCTCCTGCCTCAGCCTCCTGAGTAGCTGGGATTACAGGCATGTGCCACCACGCCCGGCTAATTTTTTTTTTTTTTTTTTTTTTTTGTATTTTTAGTAGAGACAGGGTTTCTCCATGTTGGTCAGGATGGTCTTGAACTCCCAACCACAGGTGATCCGCCTGCCTCGGCCTCCCAAAGTGCTGGGATTGCAGGCGTGAGCCACTATGCTTGGCCTAAGATTTTCTTCATTTATTTTCCTTTTTTTTTTTTTTTTTTTTTTTTTTGAGACGGAGTCTCGCTCTGTCGTCCAGGCTGGAGTGCAATGGCGCGATCTCGGCTCACTGCAAGCTCCGCCTCCCGGGTTCACGCCATTCTCCTACCTCAGCCTCCGGAGTAGCTGGGACTACAGGCGCCCGCCACCACGCCCAGCTAATTTTTTTTTTTAATTATTTTTAGTAGAGACGGGGTTTCACCATGTTGGCCAGGATGGTCTCTATCTCCTGAGCTCATGATCCGCCCGCCTTGGCCTCCTGAAGTGCTGGGATTACAGGCGTGCGCCACCGCGCCCAGGCTTATTTTCCAATTTATAAATGAGGCCGGGCACGGTGGCTCGTGTGTGTAATCTCAGCACTTTGAGAGGCCGAGGTGGGCAGATCACTTGAAGTCAGGAGTTCGAGACCAGCCTGGCCAAAATGGTGAAAGTCCGTCTCTACTAAAAATACAAAAAATTAGCCGGACGCGGTGGTGGGCCCTTGTAATCCCAGCTACTCGGGAGGCTGAAGCAGGAGAATTGCTTGAACCCAGGAGGCAGAGGTTGCAGTGAGCCGAGATCGTGCCACTGCACTCCTGCCTGGGCGACAGTGAGATTCCATATCAAAAAAATTTACAAATGAAACTATGCGCTATTTTCTTAGGCTTTTTGTTGAAGGTCCAGTTCTCCCATGTTTACATACCACATTTTAAAAATAGGTAGGAAAAACAATTTTTATCACTGCTTGTCTTAACCAGTACAGAACAGCAAAGCTTCTTTTAAACTATATTTACAGCACTTCAAAGAGTTTGGGAAGAAAGAATAACCTCAAGCCAGTCAGATATTTTCCATAATTATGATTTTGTATTAAAATGCAAGAGATATAGGTAGAGGATAATTTCAGTACCAAAGATAAAAATTATTTAATACTAATTTTAATGACTCCATTACATTTTAAACTCCATTAAATTTAAAGCTAATTTTAATTAGCTTTAAAAAGCTATGCTTAAATTAATAGTAATAATGAGCCTTGAATTGTTCTCTCAAACATCACTTCTGGTAGAAATGAATTATATAGTACTGACTTTCATAGTTTAAGGGAATATAACAGAGTTTTAGAAAAATACTCTTTTCTAATTAAAAAAACAAATCTCCATGTTGTGATTCCCCCATTGCTAGTCACATTTTTTTTTTTTTTTTGAGACGGAGTCTCGCCCTGTTGCCAAACTGGAGTACAGTGGCGCCATCTTGGCTCGCTGCAACCTCTGCCTCCCATGTTCAAGTGATTCTCCTGCCTCAGCCTCCCGAATAGCTGGGACTACAGGCACACGCCACCATACCCAGCTAATTTTTTTTTTGTATTTTTAGTAGAGACAGGGTTTCACCATGTTGGCCAGGATGGTCTCAATCTCTTGACCTCATAATCCTCCTGCCTTGGCCTCCCAAAGTGCTGGGATTACAGGTGTGAGCCACCGCGCCCGGCCGCTAGTCAAATTTTAAAAGGCCCAAACCCAAATGTGTTTTGTCATTTTACCCTAGGAAACTCAATGATTTTGCTTCTTTATTCTTCAAGATTATTCATCCAGACCCTGATAGGCCTGAGCACAGGTTCATTTAAACTAGAGGCTATCACAGGCGTCGTTTGGAAAGTTACATTATACACTTAACAAATGGGAAATGTTAGGCTGGGCTCGGTGGCTCACGCCTGTAATCCCAACACTTGGGGAGGCCGAGGCAGGTGGATCACCAGAGGTCAGGAGTTCGAGACCAGCCTGGCCAACATAGCAAAACCCCATCACTACTGAAAATACAAAAATTGGCAGGGCATGGTAGTGCATGCATGTAATCCCAGCTGCTCGGGAGGCTGAGGCAGGAGAATCGCTTGAACTCGGGAGGCGGAGGCTGCAGTGAGCTGAGATGGAGCCACTGCACACCAGCCTGGGCAAAACAACGAGACTCCATCTAAAAAAAAAAGGGGGGGGGGGGTGAAATATAAAACTCTTCCTTATACCTCCAAGCCCAAGCAGGTAGGGGGAATTCTTAGAGCAAATTAGACTTCCACAGGCAAATTCTTTATCCTAGTGAATCTGGATCTACCAGATAACTATAGAATCCTCTAAACTCCAAAGCCTTGGTCAACCTGTCAGTACCATCAGCATCACTGGGAGCTCATTAAAAATGTAGAATCTCAGATCTCACCCCACACCTAATGAATCCGAATCTGCCCTTTATACTGAGCTCCCCAGGTAATTTGCATGCATATTAAAGTTTGAAAAGAACTGATCTCATGAAATCTTACAGCTAACACAGAGACCTAGGAGAACAAGACCGTGCAAAAATTGAGAAGAACTTCTGTAAAATGCTGGGGGCAAGAAAATAGGGAAAACAAGAAAAGAGAAGAGTGACTTTGAGGGAAGAGTGCATATATCATTTCCTTAATACATTTCATTTTTCTTTTTTATGCCTTGTTTTGAAAAGCTACCATTATCTTGGCATGCTTTAGATGGAAACCATTTACTGTGCAGATTTCTGTTCTTGTTCTCAAAATCTATGCAAAAATATCTCGTCTAACCCCTACCATTGTGCCTGGCCCTTTGAAATGTGTTTCTTGCTGACGTGCTTGTTTCTCCTTTCCAGTCCTGACACAGCTCTCCCTGAGGAGCAGCCACATTCCAGCTCCCAGTGCGCCCCTCTCCACTGTCTCTCCAAGCCTCCTCACCCCTAGTCTTCATCTCCTGTGGACGAACATCTGGGGTGGAAGTTTTGTAGCCACACACAGGATACTGCCCAAGATCCAGCGGGTGTTTTCTTCTCGGTTGTTAGATGTACAATTGGATTAATGTCCATCGTTTTGGAAGACGAGAGAAAGTTGAGAAGAACACGAAGCACAGACCCTGATGTGATAAAACATTTTGTGGTTTCTCTGAGTCACAGATAAACTTCTGCCATCAAATGGCTACAGTTCATTTAAATTTAAAAAAAAGAAAAAAGAAACAGAAAACGTGTCTCAGATGGCTGGCTTTACCTCGATAGCATAAGAGAGACCTAAGACATGTAAAATACGTATATTGCAGTATCATCTTTCCTCACACTCCAAATTCAGCTAGGGAAGTTGATTCCAATATGTTTGTCATTGATATTTATTTTGTACTTTATTTGCTACATGATTTATGTCTATACAAATAATTTCTCTGAGGTGAATTTAATTCATTTATTTTCAAATAAGCATAATTTGCTCAATTAAGTATGAGTTTGAATTTAGTTTGAAATCTGGAATTGGCCAGACTGTGGTCATTTTTCTTGCACAAAATGATAAATGAGGTGCATCAGAATGTTAACAATAACTGTATTTTGCTGCTACGCTGGTATTGTTTAGGCACTTACTTTCTAATCAGTAGCTCATTAACTGCTGGGTTTTGTTTTTGTATTTTTAACTAGAGTTCTTCACTGGACATTACTAAGTAAATCTAAGAAAGAGACTAAGTTATGATTTATTGACTTATTCAAGTTTTGATGGCATCTTTACTTTTATTTTTTCATTGCAGTTGAGTAGATGTACTGGTGCTGCTCCTTTGTATGTGTGTATGTGTGTGATAACGTTAAAGAAGGCTCAATAACTTGAAGGGAAAAAAATGGTGTGTTTATTTAATGACCAGAATTTTTTTTACTTCTCCCAAAATCAGGGTCCTACTGAGTCTTTCCTGATAAAAGGTATCAAGTACAAATGGGAAAATATATACATATATAGATGTAAGATAGCCTTTAATTAATTAATTTACCCAGAGAGTGTTCAAAGTTTGATTAAAATTGTATGTTTTGTTGTTGTTAGTTTTTTTCATAACGAATCTTCCTTGCCAAAAAAACAATAGATAATAAACCTTAGCTCATTGTCTACTTTTGACAAACACTCAGGTGCCTACAAACATTCTATTATCTTGAGATAATACATGTTCCTGGTTAATTTACAGATTCTGCTGGGTAACTTTTATGACTTGATTTAAGGCAGTGGATTTTCATAGCAAAATTTATTTTGCACATAATCTGACAAACAAGGAAAACAGCTAACTGAGCTGAAAGGTCTAACACTCTCGGGCTCCTTAACCATCAAGTGCTGCCCACACAATTGCTCCTAGCCCTGATTCCTTGTCTTTGTCAGGTAGCCTTAACTTATTTAAAACCATAAGGGTTTGACCTTTTCATATAAAGACATCTGTAACTTCTCTTCAAAACAAAAATGACCCTCACTGTTAACACAAAGGACAGTTACCAGTGTAGGGCACTGAGAAAGGAGATCCAGGAGCCACTCAGCTTATTGAGCGGACATGGGTGGCACAGAAATGGAGTGGTCCATCAGAGACCAAATGGTAAGTCGTAAAGCACATTGCAGGAGCTTTCGTTAGTCATACGCCTATTAAGTAGTGGTCGCTATTACCAAAGCAACCAGGACGTTTTGTGTTCTTTATATGAGTGCTATTTTCCACAGTGTCATTTATTATGCAACGTGGAGTAAAGAGTTGAAATCTTCACCAAAATAAGGGTTCAGGTTAAAGTACAGAAACAGAAACAAAACGATTCGACATGAAGTTCCCAACCATAGCAGCCTAACCTTCTGCTCTTTTCTACCTGCATGGCCTTGCTGTTCCTAAACATTGTCTTCATTTCACTGGCGTTGTATCTGCCTAGTACCAGTATTAGTGAGACTGTGGATTTTATCAGAGTTCAATGAAAGAAAGCTTACCCCTGCCCTCACTTTGTGTTTTTTATTTTTCCCCCTTTCTCAAGCACCACGTATTTGGACCTGAGAAGTGGCATAGCTGCTAAGTTGACTTTTAATAAAAAACTGTTTGTGCCTGAGGGAAATATATGCCTTTTTAAAAAGTACCTCAGAACATGTTCGTAGATCGTCTCATCGGTTTTGTTTGGTGGGACTGGGAGTTCAGCAGGAAGTATTGTCTGTGTGTGATGACGGGGCAGTATTGCCAGTCGGCAATGTTGTATTTGCATTCTTTATCCCTAACTCTGAATCTAGGACTCCATGAAAAGCCGGGTCACCCACAAAACATTTCTTCCAATACAAAGTGTATTATTACGTCTATTATAAACTAGTTTCATTTCAGTTATTTATCTTCATAGAGTGGGAAAGTCTTTTTCTGAAATACTAATTCTATGAAAATAATAATTTTAGTGAATCTTTGCCAAGAAGTTATAGAAACTTGGAAATAAATTTCTCATTTTCAGCACAAAATTAAGTGATAGTCCCTAAGCAGTAAGAGAGAATACCATGTATTTACACTGTGGCATCATTTAGTATAGTTTACACTGAGCCATATTTATTTATAGGCATTTAAAGTGAATCAGTATGTGTAGTGTTGATAAAAATCAGTATCTGTAAAGATAACATCAGGAATTCAAAAGGAAATTGAAAAGGGGCAGAACTAGTGAGAACCAAAAAGAATGAACTCCAGTAAGACTAATTGAAGACATACTTGGAGAGGAAAAATAAACAGCAGAAATGCACTAAAAAATACTGGCTAATTATTGCAAACAGAGTGAGCAAAGATTAATGCTAACTAGTAAAAGTAGTTAGCAAAGTAAACAGGTAGTTTTTTAAAAGTAAGCACAATTACAATATTGAATAGTATGGAGAAATGCTTTTCTCCTGAGGATTTTCCTTAATCAAAAAATAAGAAGAAGCAATAAATTGTCTTTGGCCTGAGTGCTGAGTGGCATAAATAAAGGAGCTTGGCTTAATCTTTCTGGTCCACACATAATCCATTAGATCCCATTCATATATCCAACTCTGGATTCTAATAAAATAATTTGGAGAACTTTGAGAAAAAGGAAAACTGTTAAATAAGAAAAGACCTATTTAGAAATTATACTTTAGTCTAACGAAGAGGAGGTACAATAGTAGTCTTCAAGAAAAGAATATTTAACAAATGATAGATATCAGCTATAGATATTGTTACTAAGTCTAGAATAAAAAAGGCTTCAGTGTGAAGGATGTATAGTAACTCTAGGAAAGAGATTTTTAACACTGGGAAATTAACGTGGAAATTGATAATCATAAAGAATATTTGTTTTGTAAAAATTGAATATCATTGGTGGTCTAGTAAGTATTAAGTGGCAAGATAGGAGAATGCATTTCAGTTCTGGGAGCTCATAATCCTGTGATTCTTTTATTTTAAGTTTTAAAATACATTAAAATTTTACTGGTTAATCATAAAATATTTTATATTTGAAAATAGGATGGCAATCTTTATTTTTCCAAGATATTTGTTGGAAAAAAATGATCGTTGGTATTATTTTTTCTTTCAGCTATATTCCATGGTATCTTTAAAATTGTTCAGAATATAGGACTTTTACTAAAAAAATTCAATTGTCAGAGTCTAAAAAAACAATGTCCTCAGGAATACTTCAGAAATAGAAGGTATGCAATCCCTTAGTGGGGGGCAAACACATTTCAGATTTCGTCTTTATTTAAAAGGATCTTCAGTCTACAACATTTGCTTTTTTCGTGCTTTGGAAAATATCCTTGTGCAGATAAGTTCTTCTGTTTGAAACAAGCATGAAACATTGGTCCAATAACCTAAGAATGTGGAGATTTCTTGATATTCTGTATTAATTAAAGTTCTCTACATGTCTCAAATGGAGATCACAAAACATGAAAAGGAAGAAATGAAATATCTTTTCTTCTGGGATGAGTGTCAATTTTAATGTATAATTGTCATAATCAATCAGCCAAAAGTTACAATCTGTCCCTCAGAGACATTGGGGGAAGCTGATGGATTTCCAGTAAGGAACTGTGGTGGGTTCAAACTCAGGCTGCCACAAATACATTGATATGGTAGGTAGGAAGTAGGACTAAATTTGAAAGAAACTTATGGGATAAAGTTCACAATTTTAAAAAGGTTGCCCTCCAGTTTTTTTGTTTGTTTATAAACTAGAGTGATTTTTAAGTAACCCTTATATTTAAGGCTGCAAAAAATGTACAAGAGTATGTTTTCAAGTAAAGGGAACATAATTCTTCAAAAAGCTGTTGAACTGGAGTTATGATAGGTTATGACAGAGAGCATGATCAGTGCTGATACTGACAAGTACTTTTTTACCTTAAAATCAACTTCTATGGAACTACAAGATCAATCTAGCTCCCGAGTGACATTTTCCATTGTCTGTAATAATGCCCTCGGATGAGTTGTGTCTAAAATTAAGTTCATCTTTATTTATATGCGAACTTAACTGCCATAGTCCCTAATGTATTGCGTTTGTAACCTGATCGTATTATGTTTACAGCTGAAAGATTTCATCTAGACATGTCTTTCGTCCTTATTATTCAAAGTGTAATTGAAAGAGATATTTAGTATTAAGACATGTTCCCCAATTGAGAATTTTCCAGAATATTCTACTTAAGAAGAAGAAGAGCAATTAACTGCCTTTAGTGTAAGGGCGAGAGTGCATAGAAATATGCAATGTAAAATGTTTGCATGAATTATTTCACATCATGTAAGCTTTCCCATATTCATAAGATGAACACTATAGAAGTCTCATTTCTCTGTGATCTTCTGTCCATTAGGAAAGTAAGGAGATTGTTATCTATATCTAGTCTCCTTTCCATATTGAACTGCATGGCTCTAATCCTCAGTGTATTTTTATCCCTTCTCGAGTTATTTAAAATTTGCCCTATTTAAGCTGAAGCCTGGATAAACTGCTGAGCCAGATTATTCCTGTGATTGGAGTTTAATTGCTGTAGAACACTTGTTGAGAACACATTTTTTACTTTTTTTCTTTCAGAATTATTCCTCAATCATTGTTCTCTAATGAAAACACCGAGAAGTAAATCTGGTGCTTCTTAGTGTAAATATGTTTTTCTTTTTAAAAAGTCATTTTAAAACAAAGATGAGAGAACTATAAAGTAAGGGGAAATATCATTTTATTTAAAAATAATTATTCAATGATAGATAATGGAGATACAGAATGACTCATTGGGTTCATAGGTATGATTTGTGCAGCCAGTCTTAGAGGAAATACATCATTTTAACATTATTCCCACAAAATGTTAAAGCTCAATGGTTTGACTATGAGAGTCAAACAATTACTATTTGAAAATCTCTTATGACATTTTTATAATCTACTCTGTTTTTATTTGCATGATTATGCTTATGTGATGAACCATCCATGATTCTGATATTGTATTTCTTTCCAGTATTAACATGTGTATTGTGTGGCCAACTCTGATTTGTACACCGTATTATTGTTGTAATGATTCAACTGTTCCTACATTTAATTGCAGTTTAATTATTATGCCTTTTGGGGTTAAATGATGTGAAGTGTTTCCACCTACTGATAAATACCATATGAAAACACGACTAAAAGACTGATTTAAGAAACTTGTTATTTTTAAAAATATGAATTTCAAAAGAAATGTTCTCAAAGACACATGCATTTATTTTAAATTCAAAAAATTCTTATGAATTTATTATTGCTTGTACTTTAACTTTTTTTATTGTAGACAATCCTAAGTGAATAATGTCTCATGGGAGAACACATGATATGTGCTTGTATTTGTGTAATCTGATCATGCACTCAATGGTTGGAAAAGGCACTCCAGTGCTAAGAAAATAACCAGAAGCCAATATATCGATTCTTATATCTCGGTTTATGTTACCAACTGAATATGGTGTAATGCATAACTTTTTCCAGTAAATAAACTGGTTATTTTTTGTTCATTTCATTAATGCTGCCTTTTTATCAATTTGAGCAGTTTTTCTGTATGTCATTTTGATGTATACTTACAAAAAGGAAAAGACTATATGAATTCAGATGTGATCTATATGTTTATTCAAAGTAAGAACTTATTTGAACTAAAAACTAAATGCTTTGCTTTAACAACAATTCTATACATTCCTGGTAAGTAATGTGTATCAACTCTGCTCATTTCCTCCAGTTATCACCTCTTCTACTTGTAATCTTTTCTAGAAAGCTATTTTGGCAGGAGGATATACTTGGCTGAATTTGATTAGAAATGTACCAACATGAAGAAAATGCTTGCCCTAAAACAGGAAACATTATTTTGATGAAAGAAGAATGAAGTTTCTATGCATTATTTTGGGAGACAATTCCTCTTTGTTCTTTTTGGAACAGCAGAGTTCCAAAACTTTGAGGGAGGTTAATTTTCTAGCTCCTCCTACAAATACATATTGTAGTAAATCAGCTGCTTTGGGAACCATCCACTTTGATTCGATTTTATTTAAAGGGTGGAGGAGGGGGAGAGGCAGATAGAACATGGTGTTCTAGTGAGTTAAAACGTCTAATGCAATCCTCATTATAGCTAATCAAATTCGTGCAACACGGGCAGCCAACATCCTGGCAAAAGCTGTCTGCTCACCTGTTGCATAAATACAACACTAGAAATAATAATGTAAACTTTTCTACAAATTTCTCCTTTTTCTCTTCCAAAAGCTTTTGTTTTTCTTGGAGGTTGGATCTATAAGTCTATTTGATACTTGACTTTCTCTTACATGATAAAGCTGATAGTCTGCCACATTCAAAAGTGAAAACAGCTGGACGCATCAAGAAAGTCTCTTCTCATCTATACATTTTGCAGGCAACTTGGACAGCCTATATTGCAACCCACAAGGGATGAGAAAGAGAGCAGAATCGATGGGAACTTGTGGAAGGGATTTCCGTCTTCTTCTTCTTCTTCTTCTTCTTCTTCTTCTTCTTCTTCTTCTTCTTCTTTTCTTCTTCTTTCTTCTTCTCCTTCTCCTTCTCTTCTCCTCTTCTTCCTCTTCCTCTTCTTCCTTCTTCCTTCTTTCTTCTTCTTCTTCTTTTTTAAAGAGGGAGTCTTGCTCTGTCTCCCAGGCTGGAGTGCAGTGGCATGATCTTGGCTCACTGCAACCTCCGACTTCCTGGTTCAAGCTATTTTCGTGCCTCAGCCTCCTGAGTAGCTGGGATTACAGGCACGTACCACCATGCCCAGCTAATTTTTGTATTTTTAGTAGAGACGGGGTTTCACCATGTTGGACAGGATGGTCTTCATCTCCTGACCTCATGATCCACCCGCCTCGGCCTCCCAAAGTGCTGGGATTACAGGCGTGAGCCACCGCACCCAGCCGGATTTTTTTTTTCTTTTGAAACATGGCCTCACTCTGCCACCCAGGCAGGAGTGCAGTGGGATGATCTTGGCTCACTGCAGCCTCGACCCCCTGGGCTCAAATGATTCTGCCACCTCGGCCTCCCAAGTAGTTGGGATCACAGGCATATACCACCATGCCTGGCTAATTGTTTAATTTTTTTGTACAGATGAGGTCCCACTATGTTGCCTAGGCTGGTCTTGAGCTCCTAGACTCAAGTAATTCTCTCATCTCAGACACTGAAAGTGTTGTGATTACAGACATGAGCCACCTCGCCCAGCCAGGAAAGGATTTTCTTGGTTTTTGGTCGTACACATGCTGACTAGCACATTGTAGGAACTCAGTCAATTTTGAATTAGAGTAGTTGTTCCTGAGAAGTGAGTTTCTTGGCTTCTTGACATCTAGCTTTCTCATAAGACATCCAGAATTGAGTTTACAGAACCTAATGTCACCTACTTATATAATTACAGCAGGCACTAAATATCAACTAATTGGGGGAAATGGCCTTTAAATTAAGTGAATGCTTATTCCTGTCATTCTGTCTTAGTGAATCTAAAAACTAGATCTCTTAACACTGTAATAGGAGGCTAAGTATGTATGATGAAATAATCTAAGAATTCTTTTTTTTGTGTGTGTGACAAGATCTTGCTCTGTTGCCCAGGCTGGAATGCACTGGCAAGATCACAGTTCACTGCAGCCCTGACCTCATAGGCTCAACTGATCCTCCCACTGCAGCCTCCCAAGTAGCTAGGACCACAGGTGCACACCATCATGCCCAGCTAATTTTTTATTTTTTGTAAAGATGAGGTCTCCCTATGTTGCCCAGTCTGGTCTGAAAGCCCTAGACTCAAGCAATCCTCCTGCCACAGACTCCCAAAGTGCTGGGATTACACAGGCATGAGCCACCATGCCCAGTTGAGTTTCTTAATTTATGAATCAAGTACACTTAAATGCTTTAGAAGACCCTCAGAATAATTAATCCACAAAATAACTGTCAAGGAAGATAAATCTCTGGGAAAAATATTTCAAGTGTCAAAAGTAAACAATTTATAATATAATTTGAATGTAGGAAGCAACATAAAGATAAATAAATCATAAATATAGTGGCTTCTTGTTAAATAGTAAAGAAATGTTACAGAATACCTTGTTGCCTTCTTTTCTTTTTTCCTTTTTTTTTTTTGAGATGGAGTCTCGCTCTGTCGCCCAGCCTGGAGTGCAGTGGCGCGATCTCGGCTCACTGCAAGCTCTGCCTCGTGGATTCATGCCATTCTCCTGCCTCAGCCTCCTGAGTAGCTGGGACTACAGGCACCTGCCACCACGCCCAGCTAATTTTTTTGTATTTTTAGTAGAGATGGGGTTTCACCATGTTAACCAGCATGGTCTCAATCTCCTGACCTCGTGATCCACCCGACTTGGCCTCTCAAAGTGCTGGGATTACAGACGTGAGCTACTGCGCCTGGCCCCCCCTTTTTTTTTTTAAAGATTAATTTATTTATTTAGTTTTTAGTTTTCAGTTTCACTCGTTGCTCAGGCTGGAGTACAATGGGGCGATCTCAGCTCACTGCAACCTCCACCTCCCAGGTTCAAGCGATTCTCCTACCTCAGCCTCTGGAGTAGCTGGGACTACAGGCGCCTGCCACCACGCCCAGCTAATTTTTGTATTTTTAGTAGAGATGGGGTTTCACCATGTTGGCCAGCCTGGTCCCAAACTCCTGATGTCAGGTGATCCACCTGCCTTGGCCTCCCAAAGTGCTTGGAATACAGGTGTAAGCCACCGCCCCCGGCCCCTCATTTTCCTTATTATCTATATCAGTAGGGGATAAAAGAAAGATAATTCAGTAAGTTAGCTTCTGTTACTACTAAAGTCAGGTGAAAGACTATAAATAGTAGGATAGATGTATGTTTCATATCCCAAGATGGGCTTTATCTAATTTGCTAGTCCCAGTGCAAAATGAAAATGCGGGGCTCCTTGATCAAAAAATAAGAAGAATTTCAAGACAGTGATAGCAATGCATTAGGCCAAACATGAGGTCCTTCTAAGCACAGGGCTTTGTTTGACTGCAGGGATCCACAGGCCATGAAGCCAGCCATGCCCCAGAATATGCTGAAATAATGATTCAGGATCTCAACACTGAATGTAGCTATTCAGAAACTGGGCTTTGGTGACCAGGCGCTGTGGCTCACGCCTGTAATCCCACCACTTTGGGAGGCTGAAGCAGGTGGATCACGAGGTCAGGAGTTTGAGACCAGCCTGACCAACATGGTGAAACCCCGTCTCTACTAAAAATACAAAAATTAGCCAGACTTGGTGGTGTGCACCTGTAATCCCAGCTACTCAGGAGGTTGAGGCAAGAGAATGGCTTGAAACCAGGAAGCAGAAGTTGCAGAGAGCTGAGATTGTGCCACTGTGCTCCAGCCTGGGTGACAGAGTGAGACACTGTCTCCAAAAAAAAAAAAAAAAGTTATAAAAAAAAAGAAACTGGGCTTTGTTTTTAACAAAATATACTTCTAAGTTTCTGTGCTTGGAAGGAAAAATACTAATGTGTTTA
This sequence comes from Homo sapiens, assembly GCF_000001405.40. NCBI lineage: Eukaryota > Metazoa > Chordata > Mammalia > Primates > Hominidae > Homo > Homo sapiens. The sequence continues at coordinate 32,387,585 of NC_000012.12, forward strand.
CGTCCTGGGGAAAAATATTTAATGCTAATATATCAATGAGTTCTAAAGTTGAATCTTGCAATACTTCCTTATTCCAATGTAGCCATAACATGTCAACTCAAAATTTCTAAACAACTCTGATATGTGTATCAGGTCATACTAAGATTATAAAAATCTTTAAATCTTTAAAAAAGCAACAGTAGACATTTTAATTAGTGTATATTAAAGTAAAACTAATTTAAGAACCCTACTGATACTTTTATAGTTTGATGTCCTTTGAAGTTGTAAAATATTAATAATGTCAGTCAAATGTCACAGGAAGATTTGCCTAACTGAAAAGAGCTATTAGTCCAAGATTAATCAGTGATTCATATCAACCTTTATTCCAAATAAATAAAAAAAGAAATTATTTACCTAATTGAAATCCATTTATTTTGAATATACGGGTGCTCATGTGTAGTAAACCACCCTATATGTAAAAAAAGGATAATATAAAAATATATAGTAAGTGTTTCTTGTTTTGGATAAAGTAACAGTGGAAACCAATAGAAATGGTTATCTGTAAAAGAGCAGAGGGTATGATAAAAGGGTGGAAGCCAGACTCTTTCAGTGCACGAATGCCTTTCTTACATATTGTTTTCAGCCATGTAAATAAATGATTTATCCAAAGGAAAAAAATTAAGATAACGTGGGCTCTCAAAAATTTCACAATGAAGCCATAAATAAAAGCACAAAATCGGCCGAGTGCGGTGGCTCACGCCTGTAATCCCAGCACGTTGGGAGGCCGAGGCGGGCAGATGACGAGGTCAGGAGATCGAGACCATCCTGGCTAATGCGGTGAAACCCCTTCTCTACTAAAAATAAATACAAAAAAATTAGCCGGGCATGGTGGTGGGTGCCTGTAGCCCCAGCTACTCCGGAGGCTGAGGCAGGAGAATGGCGTGAACCCGAGAGCTGGAGCTTGCAGTTAGCCGAGATCGTGCCACGGCACTCCAGCCTGGGCGACAGAGCGAGACTCCATCTCAAAACAAACAAACAAAAAGTGCACAAAATCTAGATGAGTATTTGTTCCATAGCAGACTATGTCAGCAGAACTATTTTTAAAAACACAAAATTTTATTCAAATTCTAACCCTGGCACGCACTTACTAGCTCTGTCACTTTAGAAAGGTTCTTACCCTCTCCAAGCTTAAGTGGTCTTGTTTTTCAAACAAGGATTAAAAATTGCCTACTTGGGCTGGGCACAGTGGCTCATGCCTGTAATCCCAGCACTTTGGGACGCCACGGCGGCTGGATCACCCGACATCGGGGGAAAAAAAGCCGGCTGGGTGGATCACTTGAGGTCAGGAGTTTGAGACCAGCCTGGCCAACATGGTGAAACCCCGGCTCTAAATCAGCCAGGTGTGGTGGCCGTGGTTGTAATCCCCAGCTATTTGGGAGACTGAGAGAGGGAGAATTGCTTGAACCTGGGAGGTGGAGGTTGCAGTGAGCCAAGATAGTGCCACTGCACTCCAGTCTGGGCAACAGAGCAAAACCTAGCAAAACAAACAAACAAACAAACAAAAACAGCCTACTTGGCAAGGTTATTGCAAAGATTAAATGAAATAACATATATAACAACTTTCAACCAGTGTTTAGTCTTTAGTAGCTATTATTATTATTAAGAGTTTCGCTCTTGTTGCCCAGGCTGCAGTGTAATGGGCGATCTCGGCTCACAGCAACCTCCACCTCTCGTGTTCAAGCAATTCTCCTGCCTCAGCCTCCCAAGTAGCTGGGATTACAGGCATGCACCACTACACCTAGCCAATTTTTTGTATTTTTAGTAGAGACGGGGTTTTACCATGTTAGCCAGGCTGGTCCCTTAACTCCTGACCTCAAGTGATCCACCCACCTCGGCCTCCCAAAGTGTTGGGATTACAGGTGTGAGCCACCGGTGCCCAGCCGATACTACTGTTTTTTGTGTCTCTTTCCATCCATGGTACATATATGATAGTAACTTCCAAAAGGTATGAACCTTCGTTTTCTTCCCTAATGCATCTTAAACGCCTAGAGTAGAATCTGGCACAAAATAAGTTCTCAATAGTTGGTGAATTGCCAGGCGCGGTGGCTCACGCCTGTAATCCTAGCACTTTGGGAGACCGCGGCGGGCAGATCATGAGGCCAGGCGATTGAGACCATCCTGGCTAACACGGTGAAACCCCGTCTCTACTAAAAGTACAAAAAATTAGCCGTGCATGGTGGCCGGCGCCTGTAGTCCCCGCTACTCGGGAGGCTGAGGCAGAATGGCGTGAACCCGGGAGGCGGAGCTTGCAGTGAGCCGAGATCGTGCCACTGCACTCCCGCCTGGGTGACAGAGACTCTCCATCTCAAAAAAAAAAACTTGCTGAATTAAGGAATGTATAAGTGAATGAATGAATTTCACACATGTCAATATATAGGACTCCAATTATCTAGGTACTGTTATTAAAAATAATATTAGTGGCTGGGTGCAGTGGCTCACAACTGTAATCCCAGCACTTTGGGAGCCTGAGGTGGGCAGATCACCTGAGGTCCTGAAAAAAAAAGCAGCTGGGCGTGGTGGCGTGCACCCCTAATCCCAGCTACTCGGGGAGGCTGAAACAAGTGAATCCCTTGAACCGGGGGGGCGGGGGGTTGCAGTGAGCCGGGATCGCACCACTGCACTCCAGCCTTGGCAACAGACGGAGACTCTGTCTCAAATAAACGAACAGAAAAGAGTTGCATGATAATTATATAACTATCATAGTATTGTATCCGGAATTGTTGGGTTCTTGGTCTTGAGGCCCTGGACCCTCACAGTGAATATTACAGTTCTTACACACTGTGTGTCCGGAGTCTTTTCTTTCCTATGTTCAGATGTGTCTGGAGTTTATTCTTTCTGGTGGGTTTGTAGCCCCCCTGGCTCCCGGAGTGAAGCTACAGACCTTCCCAGTGAATGTTACAGCTTAAACACAGCAGCAGACCCAAAGACTGAACAGCAGTAAGATTTATTGCGAAGAGCAAAAGAACAAAACCTCTACTACCTAAAAGTGGACCGAGCCGATTGCTGCTACTAGCGGTGGCCTGCTTTTATTCCTTTATTTGGCCCCACCCACATCCTGTTGATTGGTCCATTTTACAGAGAGCTGATTGGTCCGCTTTACAGAGCGCTGATTGGTCCGTTTTGACAGAGTGCTGATTGGTGCGTTTACAAACCTTTAGGCAGACACAGAGTGCTGATTGGTGCATTTACAATCCTTTAGCTAGACAGAAAAGTTCTCAAGTCCCCACCCCACCCAGAAGCCCAGCCAGCTTCACCTCTCAATGGCACTCACCGCTGCGGGACTTTGCGGCACGTAGCCCGGGCACTCTGGCAGCCCAGAGGGAACTCGTCCCCCCGATCAAACCCAGCAGGCGCCAGCCGGTCGCGCCGAGTGCGGGGCTTGCCGAGCCCGCGCTCACCTGGAACTCGCGCCGACCCGCGAGCGCCGCGCGCACCCCTGGCTCTTGCAGCGCCTCTCTCTTCACACTTCCGCGAGAGCAGAGGGAGCCGGCTCAGGCCTCGGCCAGCCCCAGAGAGGGGCCCTCATAGCGCAGTGGCGGGCTGAAGGGCCTCCTCGAGTGCGGCCAGAGCGGACGCCGAGGCGGAGGAGGCGCTGAGAGCGAGCAAGGGCTGCTAGCACGTTGTCATCTCTCAGTATGTTAGATTATGAAACTGTAAGGTAAAAATAAAAAGAACAGGGAAAAAAGATTGTGTCAGATTGGGATAGGGAGAAAGTAAAACAGATTATTAAATGGGGTGATCAGGTCGGGCCTCATCACAAAGATGAAATAAGAAAAAAAATATTTCTTTTCACATCATGGTTGCTTCAGTTTTAAAAAATATTAAGTCATCTATATACAATTTTTTTTCAATTTTTGTAGAACTAATTGTCCATCTAAAAATATCAGACCAGGTGCAGTGGCTCACGCTTATAATCCCAGCACTTTGGGAGGCCAAGGCAGGAGGATCAATTTGAGGTCAGGAGTTTGAGACCACCATAGGCAATATAATGAGTCCTCATCTCTATTAAAAAATTAGCCAAGCATGGTGGTACGTGCTGGTAGTCCCAGCTACAGAATCTGAGGTGTGAGGACTGCTTGACCCCAGGAGTTTAATGCCACAGTTAGCTTTGATCACACCACTGTACTCCAGCCTGGGTGACAGAGGGAGACTGTCTCAAAAAAATAAAAATAAATATCAAACAACAATTAACATTAAGTAATAGCATTTTCAAAAACTATTATTTTAAAATTGTGTAATAGGCATAACCATTACGAAATATGCATATATATATATATATATATTTTTTTTTTTAAGAGACAGGGTTGGCTGGGCATGGTGGCTCAAGCCTGTAATCTCAGCACTTTGGGAGGCTGAGGCGGGCGGATCACGAGGTCAGGAGATCAAGAGCATCCTGGCCAACATGGTGAAACCCCGTCTCTACTAAAAATACAAAAATAGCTGGGCGTGGTGGCGTGCCCCTGTAGTCCCAGCTACTCAGGAGACTGAGGCAGGAGAATCGTTTGAATTCGGGAGGTGGAAGTTGCATTGAGCGGGGATCACGTCACTGCACTCCAGCCTGGGCGCCAGAGCAAGACTCCTCTGTCACAAAAAAAAAAAAAAAAAAAAGACAGGGTCTTGCTGTGTTGCCCAAGCTGGACTTGAACGCCTGGGCTCAAGGAGTCCTCCTGCCTCAGCCTCCCAAGTAGCTAAGACTGCAGGTGTGCACCGTCGTGCCCAGCTAATATGCATATATTTTATTTCATGACAGTGTTTCTTTAAAATCCCAATATTTATTTTACAAGTAGATATCATTCCTTCTTGAAGCTTTGGTATTTGTCCACTTAGGTTTCTCCTTTAAATATTTGTATCAAATAATTTAACTCAACTGCCTTATTGATAACTGTAACTCCTTTTTTTTTTTTTGAGATAGAGTCTCGCTCTGTCACTCAGGCTGGAGTGCAATGGCGAGATCTCAGCTCACTGCAACCCCCACTTCCCGGGTTCAAGCCGTTGACCTGCTTCAGCCTCCCTAGTACCTGGGATTACAGGCATGCATGACCACGCCCGGCTAATTTTTTTTGTTTTTAGTAGAGACAGGGTTTCTGCATGTTGGTCAGGCTGGTCTCAAACTCACGACCTCAGGTGACCCACCTGCCTTGGCCTCCCACAGTGCTGAGATTACAGGCATGAGCCACTGTGCCTGGCCCTTTTTTTTTTTTTCCTTTTTTTGAGACAGAGTCTCATTCTGTCACCCAGGCTGCATGCAGTGCAGTGGCGTGATCTCGGCTCACTGCAATCTCCACCTCCCTGGTTCAAGCAATTACCCTCCCTCAGCCTCCCAAGTAGCTTGGATTACAGGCGCACGCCATCACGTCTGGCTAATTTTTTTGTGTTTTTAGTAGGTACGGGGTTTCACCATTGTTGGCCAGACTGGTCTCGAACTCCTAACTTCAGGCGATCCACCCACCTTGGCCTCCCAAAGTGTTGGGATTACAGGCATTAGCCACCTCACCCAGCCAACTGTCAATTCTAATGACCTTGTAATTGACTGTATAAATAATCCTTGAGATAAGTCATAATGTTATTTTTCAACATATAGTCAGAAACTAGGCTATTTTTTCTTCTGGTCCTTAATTCCAACTCTTCTCCTTGAATGACCCTTTCGTCCAGATTTTCTATAAAATTAAGGGCAACTTTTAAATATTTTCTCATAAACTTCCTAATACAAAACTAAGAACTATTATTACATTGATGGTTGGGTGCAGTGGCTCATGCCTGTGATCCCAGCACTTTGGGAGGCCGAGGCAGGAGGATTGCTTGAGGCCAAAAGTTCAAGACCAACCAGGCCAACATAGCAAAAACCTTTCTCTAAAAATTAAAAATAAAAAGAAGTATTATTTCCCTGGGCGCAGTGGCTCATGTCTGTAATCCTGGCACCTTGGGAGGCTGAGGTGGGCGGATCACCTGAGGTCAGGAGTTCGAGACCAGCCTGGCCAACATGGTGAAACCCCGTCTCCACTAAAAATACAAAAAAATTAGCTGGGCGTGGTGGTGAGTACCTGTAATCCCAGCTACTTGGGAGGCTGAGGCAGGAGACTTGCTTGAACCCGGGAAGTGGAGGTTTCAGTGAGCTGAGATCACACTATTGCACTCCAGCCAGCCTGGGCAACAAGACTGAGACTCCGTCTCAAAAAAAAAAAAAAAAAAAAAGGAGTATTATTACATTGCTAAGCTTTGCATTAGTTTTTTGGTTTTTTTTTTGTCAATGTTACCATTTTTCTTAGGTTTATATAGATTCAAACTTCAAAGTTGGCTATTTCAGTAGAATTAACAGCAATTAGTATATATTTAAAAGTCAGCCTTTTCTTTATTCACATGAATAGTTGTCCTAATTCTCGGTTACTTTATTAGAAAATAAAGGCCATGGTACTAAATATGTTTATGTAATATGGAAAGGGCATCATCACATTCTATACCTAGGTAAGTACTAGGAGTACTTAACAAATATCAAACAGCTGGGTGTGGTGGCTCACACCTGTAATCCCAGCACTTTGGGAGGCCGAGGCTGGCGGATCACTTGAGGTCAAGAGTTCAAGACCAGCCTGGCCAATATTGTGAAACCCCGCCTCTATTAAAAATACAAAAATTAGCCAGGCATGGTGGCGGGTGCCTGTAATCCCAGCTACTTGGGAGGCTGAGGCAGGGAGAACTGCTTGAACCTGGGAGGCAGAAGTTGCAGTCAGCTGAGATCCTACCACTGGACTCCAGACAGAGTAAGATGCCGTCTCAAAAAACAAAAATAGGCCGGGCGCAGTGGCTCACGCCTGTAATCCCAACACTTTGGGAGGCTAAGGCAGGCGGATCACGAGGTCAGGAGATTGAGACCATCCTGGCTAACATGGTGAAACCCCATCTCTACTAAAAATACAAAAAATTATCCGGGCGTGGTGGTGGGAGCCTGTAGTCCCAGCTACTCGGGAAGCTGAGGCAGGAGAATGGCATGAACCCGGGAGGTGGAGCTTGCAGTGAGCTGAGATCGCACCACTGCACTCCAGCCTGGGCGACAGAGCAAGACTCCGTCTCAAAAAAAAATAATAAATAAAATAAAATAAAAACAAAATCAAAGATGAGAATAAAACCTAATTGGTGAAAATCTTACCTATTAAAAGTCTATTCAATTATTTGTTGTGAAGAGTTCTTTTTTCTTTTTGCATCAGTGGAATCTAAAAAATTTCTTTATGATCAACTGAGCAAAATTATACCAACTACCAAACATAAAACACTGGAATATGAGCTGAAGTAATGGCATTCTCCTGGTACTTGCAACCCTATGCTGAAATAAACCCATGCTTCTAAAGCAGTTCCATTAATTTAGGATGTAAAATTCAATATAATATAGTTAAAATATGTTCTAGAATGCATCTGATAAAGTTTGAAAACAGACTTAGAGAGCCTGTGACAGTGTGTATTTTCAGATGGAAAAACTGTGCCTAAGGTGTTGGACAAATTATTCAAGAACTGATTGTGTTCTTAAAGATCCCCTAGATCAGCAAATACCCAGGGTGATAATTGGCTAAGTGATAATCACACCAATTAGGCTGCAGAGGCAGTGTCAGATTTTTAGTTCAAGATCCTATTAACAGCTGAGCCTACTCATTATACTTCTCACTGGCAGAGGTTCTCTGTGTCCTTGGACAGGATTTGCATCTCTGCCTCACAGACAGGAAGTTTGGGAGACATCTGCTCAGTTGAGGATAAAAACTTTAATTTCACCTGGAATAAATTAGCTTATTTTTCTTCAGATTGGCCAAAGATACAGGTCTGCCAATCCCATTCATTTATTTATTTCTCAAATGTTTGCTTCTTTTTTTCTAGTAATAAAGCAATATATATTTATTGTAGCCAGTTTGAAAGATATGGAAAAGTAGAAAGGAAGCAATACAATTCACCCATAATCTCTCTCAATGAAAACTGCTGTTAACATTTTGGTGACTTTACTTGAATCATACTGAATATACAATTTTAAATCCTGTTTTTCACCTTTTAACATTTATGGTGAATATTTTTGTAGGTTATTAAAAGTTTGCAAATACAATATTTTTAAGGTTGACATAATATTCTATAGGATGAATAAATTATACTTTTTAAAAAACAAAATACTTTCCTATATTGGCTATTTAAGTTGCTTCAAGATTTTTACTGTTGTAAATAATGATGAGCCACTTCCTCCCTCTCACCCAGGACAAAAAAAGAAAAAATATATATAATGATGCCGTTAAAATCTTTCTTTCTTTCTTTTTTTCCCCTGTAGAGAGGAGGATTCATGTTCTTGCCCGGGATAGTCTCGAACTCCTGGACTCAAGAAATCCTCCCACCTGAGCCTCCTAAAGCATTGGGATTACAGTCATTAGCCACCGTGCCCAGGTTTTTTTTTTTTTTTTTTTTTAAGGCTAGTTATTGAAAGCAGTGGGAGTGGAGAAGAAACAAATCGGTAACTGGTTGTGATCAGTCTGTTGTAAACATCACTGCATTCAGACCAGCCTCATGAACAACGTTTTTGATTTGCAATTTGGAGACTTAAAAATGAGGAGACTGTTTTCTCTCAACAAATTGAAAACTATTACCATGAAAATGTTTATACCTTGCATTTTAAAAAATATTTTTGATTGCCAATATTCTCACTAAAATGTTTATCATGTATCTATTTGTGTCTACTTTGAAAACAAACTATTTGAAATACTGCATAAATAATATCACTTCAGGTTTATCTCTTTTATCAGTTTGTCTCTTTTTCGTGGAAAATTTCAGAGTATTCTGTTAATTCTTTTTTTTTTTTTTCAATTTATTTATTTGAGACAAGGTCTCACTTTTTTGCCCAGGCTGGAGTGCAGTGGCACAATCATGGCTCTCTGCATTCTCAACTTCTGGGGCTCAACTGTTTCTCCTACCTCAGCCTCCCAAGTAGCTGGGACTACAAGTGCATGCCATCATGCCCGGCTAATAAAAAAAAAACAAAATTGGCCTGGCGCAGTGGCTCACGCCTGTAATCCCAGCACTTTGGGAGGCGGAGGCGGGTGGATCACGAGGTCAAGAGTTCAAGACCAGCCTGACCAACATGGTGAAACCCCGCCTCTACTAAAAATACAAAAATTAGCCAGGCATGGTGGCACACGCCTGTAATCCCAGCTACTCGGGAGGCTGAGGCAGGAGAATTGCTTGAACCCGGGAGGCAGAGGTTGCAGTGAGCCAAGGTCATGCCATTGCATTATCTTTTTTTTTTTTTTTTTTTTTTTTTTGTAGAGACAGGATTTCACTATGTTGCCCAGGCTGGTCTCAAACTCCTGGGCTCAAGCGATCCTAGTGCCTCAGCTACCCAAAGTGCTGGGATTACAGGCATGAGCCACTGTGCCCAGCCTCTGCTGAATTCTAATCATGCAGAGCTGTGTGGGCTACTGCAAATGCCTAGTAGATGTGTGAGCCTTGTATAAAGCAATAGTGTCATTAGAGAAAGATGTAAATTTAGAATTATAGATTGGCACAATAGTCTTATAGCCTCAGTGTGTCACCTTCTGTTGATCTTACCATGGTATGTACAAAAGTATAATATGGCCGGGCGTGATGGCTCACACCTGTAATCCCAGCACTTTGGGAGGCCGAGGCGGGCGGGTCACCTGAGGTCAGGAGTTCGAGATCAGCCTGGCCAACATGGTGAAAACCCCATCTCTACTAAAAATACAAAAATTAGCTGGGTGTGGTGGCAGGTTCCTGTAATCCAGCTACTCGGGAGGCTGAGGCAGGAGAATCCCTTGAATCCGGGAGGAGGAGGTTGCAGTGAGCCGAGATCGCGCCATTGCACTCCAGCCTGGGCAACGAGCAAAACTCTGTCTCAAAAAAAAAAGAAAAAGGTTGCTCTAAGCCAACGTGCTACTATAGTATTGTTGATTTCAACACCATCTTTTTATTGAGGCAAATAAACTAAGTTAGAAATTTGCATTTATAGTTAATTTATGTATATGGAGGCAAAACTTTCTGCTTTAATTTATATTTGAAACTACTTGTTTAAATTACTTTTGATACTATATGGCACAGTAGATAACAGTGCCGCTGTCAGAAAGAGAATAAATCCTAAGAGAGCAAAAGCTCCTTTTAATAAAGGTCTGAATGGCTGCATAAATCATTAGAGGGCTAGTTCCTTCTCTTTGGGAGTACGTTTATTTGGGTAGCAGCCAGGGAGACTGAAACAGTTGAACTGCCCTTCACAAAGGCTGAGAAAGATCGAATTACCATTACACTTCAGGGGGCTGGAGATGGTACCTGGGTGAATGACCATGTGAAGAAAGGCGGGGTGGCTTCCAAGATGGAAGTGATGGCTGGGGAACTTGGCTTGAGCTGGGATACTTGTAATGGTGGCTTTTTGCCTCCTATCTGTGTGATTTTTGGGACACAGCCTCTTTGTTATTAGAATAGTGAATTTTCAAATGCAGATAAGCAAGTCAATTTAAAATGTATTTTTTTGGTCAGGCACTGTGGCTCACGGCTGTAATCCCAGCTCTTTGGGAGGCCAAGGTGGGAGGAATGCTTGAGCCCAGGGATTGGAGACCAGTCTGGTCGACCTAGGAAAACCTCATCTCCACTAAGAATAAATAAACAAATAAATAAATAAATACTACTAATTAGCTGAGTGTGGTGGCATGGGCCTGTAGTTCCAGCTAGTGGTGGGGCTGAGGCAGTAAGATCCCTTGAGCCCAGGAGGTCGAGGCTGCAGTGAGTTGATAGGGCCACTGCACTCCAGCTTGGATCAGGGTGTGACCCGGTATCTAAAAAACAAACAAAAAAGCATTTCTTCAGGTTAGTATTTAGCTGGTGTTAAAAACGAAAACATGATAATTTAAAAGGACTCTAGGCTGGGCACAGTGACTCAAGCCTGTAACCCAGAGCTTTGGGAGGCCAAGGCAGTAGGATTGCTTGAGCCCAAGAGTTAGAGACCAGCCTGGGCAACATAGCGAGGCCTCATCTCTACAAAAACTACAAAAATTAGCCAGCAGTAGTGGCGCGCCCCTGTTGTCTCAGCTACTCAGGAGGCTGAGGCAGGAGAATCGCTTGAGACCAGAAGGTCGAGGCTGCACTGAGCTATGATCACACCACTGCACTGCAGCCTTGGTGACAGAGCGAGACCCTGTCTCAAAACAACCAAAAGGACTGTAAAGTGCATTCCTAATGAAGTCCTGAATGGAGGGTCTGCTGCTCTTCTGGAAACCTTTGGATTGTTAACCTCTACCCCTCTTTTATTTCCACACCTCTTATTTCATTTTCTGTCCCGATACTCCTGGCAAGATGTTTAGTTCAGTGGAGTAAGGACAGACTTCGGTGCGGAGACTCCAGCTCTGCAGTGCTATGTGACCCCACTGTAGGTTCAGCACCTTGGTTTCCTTATCTGAAATACTTATTCGGTAGTTTTAGGACATAAGATCAAGGGTTCAGCACAACGGCTTGAGACACATACGCGACCCTCAGAGTGCGGGTCTGCGAGAATGCAAGCACCCTGGACATGGTCCAGAGTAGCTGGACTTCTTCCCGAGGGCACTGCGTGGCCAGCAGGTGAGCGCGGCCCCCGCCTCGCAGCACCCCAGGTGTGCGGCCGCAGGTGCGCGCCCGCGCGGCTCCCCTCGGCCAAAGGGCGAGGCAGTGGCGCGGCAGGGCGGGGCCGGCCAGAGCGAACCGGCTCCGGCTCCGGGGCCGCGCCCAGGGCGCTCCGCTGGGCACAGCAAGTTCTTGGCTGCTTCCCCGGCCGGAGGAGGCGGCGGCGGCGGCGGCGGCGGCGCTAACAGGCTGAACCCTCTGCGCTCTCCTCCCGCCCTTGGGGACCTGCTGGCGATTGGCTCCAGAGAGGAAGGGGTGGAGGCAGCCCCGGCCTGGCAGCTGCGGTAGCGGCTTTGAGTGAGTGCGGGAGCTGCAGATACCGAGACGCTGCGACTGCCGCAGGAGTCGCCGCAGCCAAACTCGCCGCGACGCCGGGAGGGAGCGTACCGGGAAGGAGAGGGAGAGGAGGCACTCGCTGAGGAGACGCCGCAGTAGAGGGCGCCCCCGGAGTCGCGCCGAACCTGGGCATGCAGGCGACGCCCCCCAGGGGCCGCTCGCGGCTGGACGGGAGCGGGAGGAGTCGGGGAGCGGCGGTCGAGCCCGGCAGGATGAGCGACGAGGGCGGCTCCAACTTCAGGCGGGTGGCGATCCGGCGGAAGTCCAACCCCTCCTACCTGCCGCCCGGGGTGCCCCGGCCCTGGAGCAGGCCCGCGTCGCACCTGGGACGTGTAGGGACCGCTGCCTTCAAGGGCCAGGTGCCCTCAGGAGCCACAGGTAAGCGCCTCGGGGCGCGGGGGAAGGGTGGCCCCGGCGCGTAGGTGCGGGTGAGGGGCGCTCCCAGCGCCCTGCAGGTGCGCCCTCTCGTCCCCCGCTGCGGAGGTAACTGGTTCGGGAGGTTCATTGTGGAAGGCTGCGCTCGGCCACCCACTCCCTTAGCTATGCTGTCCCTTCCCCCAGAGGACCTTGGGCAGGAACCCGCCTACCGCCGAGCTTGTCCTGGAGGTCACTTCTCAGAAAATTCAGAAAGTACAGGTAGAATTCTCTTTTTCTCTCTAACTTTTGTTAGGATTTGAAAAGACCAGTTTTCTAGCTACTGAAGCTTAAGCGGCTTCGCTAAATTCCTGCTTTGGGCAGCCGTGGTGGAGGCCTAATACGGTGAAGGGGAGGCTGGTGTCCGCCCAAGTCTGACAACCTAGGTGTGGTGAGCAACCTTCTTAGTGCCTGGATTTTCTTAAAGGGACGCTTGACTCCCAGGCTGACTGTGAAAAGCGGCAAGGAAAGCTGTTCCTAACATCAGAAAACGGAATCATTATTGCTGTTTTCATGTTAATAGGTTCAGATGTCAGTAATGCGGTGTTTTGATTTCTGAATTCTCATTGAATCTTAAAGAAGTCCTCAAGGTGATCTATTCAAGGCGATCTATTCAAGGCCACGTAATCTCCCCTGTCTTGTAAATGTGTTCTCTTCTCCCCAGGCGAGTTTGAAACTAGGGATTTCTTTTTTCTTTGATTTGCAAAACTTCTTTAAAATCCCCTCCCCTCCTTTATGCGGTAACCAGAGGTGTCTGGTATGTAGACCAGCTTACGAGGCAAAACCTCATTTGAGCAGCAGAAATACAAATAATTCTAATTACTTTCACGCATTTCATTCTGATTAAGCAAATATGACGATTTAAATATGATAAATATTAGAGCTTTTAAATTCCCTTTTAGTCCTGGTTCTGAACTTGTAGTAGGCATAGAGCAGAAAAACATGATGAATTAAAAAGATATAACTACAGTAGATAAGGGCAGAAATTGTGAGGTGAGAAAATATGTAAACAAGTAACTGAATTACAGTGCCTTCGGTCTTCATTTCCTTGTCTTCAAAATGAGGACACTAGTGTGAAACAGTTTCTGAACTCTCTTCCAGTCTTAGGTGTGATTCACTCAAATTAATGGGAGGGTGTTTTCTTCCTTATCAAATGAAAATGATTTACTTTGGATCGAAGGTATTTATTTAATGGGTTTTCAAGTTATTTAATGTACAGAATTTGTTAATCATCAACTGTTTTCAGTTGGAGAATAGTGGGCACCAAATTCCTTATTTTTGTGAGACGGAGTCTCACTCTGTCGCCCAAGCTGGAGTGCAGTGGCATGAACTCAGATCACTGCAACCTCTGCCTCCCGGGTTCAAGCGATTCTCCTGCCTCAGCCTCCCAAGTAGCTGGGATTGCAAGCATGCGCCACCACGCCCAACTAATTTTTCTGTTTTTAGTAGATACGGGGGTTTCACCATGTTGCCCAGGCTGGTCTCGAACTCCTGATCTCAAGTGATCCGCCCGCCTCAGCCTCCCAAAGTGCTGGGATTACAGATGTGAGCCACCACATCCGGCCTCAAATTCTTTATTCTATCATTTTACTTAAAATCACCTGGCTAAATTACAAACCCATTGAGTAGGGGAAAAGAGGAAGTGCCCTTTTAGCAGTAAGGGTAAAAGGGAGTTGTGGCAGTCTACAAATCATTTCTGTAAGGTAGCTCTGCTTTTTCTCTTTTCCATTCTTTTTTTTTTTTTTTTTTTGAGACGCAGTTTTGCGCTTGTCCCGCAGGCTGGAGTGCAGTGGCGCAATCTCGGCTCACTGCAACCTCTGCCTCCTGGCTTCAAGATTCTCCTGTCTCAGCCTCCCGAGTAGCTGGGGTTACAGGTGCCTGCCACCATGCACAGCTAATTTTTGTACATTTTTTTTTTTTTTTTTGAGACGGAGTCTGGCTCTGTCGCCCAGGCTGGAGTGCAGTGACGCAATCTTGGCTCACTGCAAGCTCCGCCTCCCGGGTTCACGCCATTCTCCTGCCTCAGCCTCCCGAGTAGCTGGGACTACAGGCGCCCGCCACCACGCCCGGCTAATTTTTTGTACTTTTAGTAGAGACGGAGTTTCACCATGTTGGCCAGGCATTTTTTTTTTTTTTTTTTTTTTTTTTTTTAAAGAGACGGGATTGCTTGGCACGGGGGCTCACGCCTGTAATCCCAGCACTTTGGGAGACCGAGGGGGAGGATCGCTTGAGCCCAGGAGTTTGAGACCGGCCTGGGAACATTTCAAAACCCCGTCTCTGCAAAAAATGACCCCTTGTGGACTGAAGTGGGAGGATCGCTTGCGCTCAGGAGGTGGAGGCTGTAGTGAGCCATGATCGTTTCACTGTATTCCAGCCTGGGCAACAGAGTGAGACCCTGTCTCAAAAAGAGAGGGAGAGGGAGAGAGAGAGAGAGAGGGGAGGGGAGTCAGAGAGAGATGGGGTCTCACTGTGTTGCCCAGGATAAGGCTAGAGTGCTGTGCCTATTCATAGGTACAATCGTAGCTCACTATAGCTTCGAACTCATGGGCTCAAAGCTATCCTTCTGCCTCAGTCTCTTAAGTAGATGGGACTACAGGCACACACCATTTTTTTTTTTTTTAATTCAAAGAAAACCCAGAGCAGTTTTTTTTAAAATGGAGAACCTAGCACTACCTTTTCTAGGTGTGTTACATTGTCTCGATATTGTAAACCGGCTGAAACTCAAAATTCTTGTTGCTATTTTCAGGGTCGAAAAGTAATTATCTTAATAGGTACAGCCATTCCCCTTACCATGATAAAATCTGTAATATCTGTAGGAGAATGATCTAGTGTTTTGAGAAGTAGTCTCAAACTACTGGATGACCACACCCTGTTCAATTTGGGAAGGGTAAAAAATATTTTAGAAAGTGCTTTCTTCTTTGACTCAAATCTGCCTCCCTATTAGTTCAATAGTATCATTAGATAAGTCTGTTCTTCCCCCTCATCAAAAAGTAAACCAGATTTAAGTTACTGAAAAGTGCCAGTTCATTCTATAGCACCTAGGAAAATATTTATATATGAAAACCACAAAATTTAAACGCATTACAAAGTAGGCATTACTCAATTGAAATGTCACTTTCCCTCTTAAAGAAGAAGGAACAAAAACTGAAAACTCAAGAACTTGGCAGAAAATTCCATTTAGCATTGTTATGTCATGTTCTGTGGTTATAAACCCTGCTGTTTTTAGAGTTCTGTGCTTTTTGGCAAAAATAATAAAGTGTACCAACTGCATCCTTTGTGTATTCCTGAATGTGAAGCTCCCCATTTAAGTGAAACAGAAAGGTGAAGCAATTAAGACATAGGCTTTGGGGTTATATAGCACTCACGTTCTAGTCCCTCTTCCATAGCTAGCTGTGTGAATTGGACTGTCTCTTAATTTCTACGTTTCTTCATCTGGACAACAGAGATAACAATCCTTATAATCGGTGCACTCCTATAGTCTCAGCTACTTGGGAGGCTGAGGCAGGAGAATCACTACAAGCCATGAGTTTGAGGATGAAGTATGCTGTGTTTGCACCTGTGAATAGCTACTGCACTCCAGCCTGAGCAACGCAGCAAAACTCCATCTTTTTTTTTTTTTTGAGACTGAGTCTTACCCTGTCGCCAGGCTGGAGTGCAGTGGTGCAATCTTGGCTCACTGCAACCTCCGCCATCTGGGCTGAAGTGATTCTCCTGCCTCAGCCTCCCTAGTAGCTGGGACTACAGGCACACACCACCATGCCCAGCTAATTTTTGTATTTTTAGTAGAGACGGGGTTTCACCTTGTTGGCTAGGATGGTCTCAATATCATGACCTCGTGATCCGCCCGCCTCGGCCTCCCAAAGTGCTGGGATTACAGGTGTGAGCCATCGTGCCCGGCCCAATGCTCCCTTTTATGGAACCTTAGTTCCAGGCCTCAGGTTCAGCTTTTTCCTATTGTGAAAACCCAAGGCCAAAACTTCCGTCCCCTGAAAGGCTCTTAGTCCCCTAGGCTTTCGGGTTCCTGGCAATGACTTTGCCTCTTGGGCAGCATGGTCTTACAAGTTAGTTACTTGTGTTTAAGTTTTGGGTTCTTTTTTTTTTTTGCTTGCCTTTGGGCACCTCCTTTATTTTGTTATGAGCTCAGCCATGCATTTGTTGTATCTGAGTATTTGAATATCTGTTGTAATTTATTCAGCATCTCGGTGCTTTGTGGTGAGGGACTTTTCACATTATTTACTTGGTAAACTTTCTATGTAAGTACAGTTTTTTTTTTTCTGGTACTCACCATGGCTGGAATGCTCACATTTTCAACATATACCCCAGTATCCTGAGAACTTCTAGAGTACTAATTTCATCTCTGGGGAAGAGGGATAGAAATTTTGGTGAAAGCAATACAAAAAAGTACTATTGATTGAATTCTGGCACTGAACCAGGACTATGTGTATGTTACCTCTAGTTCTTATAACAACCCTGAAAAAATAGGTGGTATTATTACAATTTTAGGGAAGGAAAAAAAGTTTCAGAAAGTCCTATTGCAGTACCCTGCACCTAGTAAATTTCAGAGGCAGGATTCAGACTTATGTCACTGGCTTCAGTGCTTGCATGCCTGTTAACACCTGTTCTTAAGGTTTTCCAGGGCTTTGAGTGGCCCAACGTAAAGCAATAACCATAGGTCATTTGCATTCATATGTTAGAGCTAATGTTATTTGTAACATTAAAAAATCTATATTATATTTTTAAATAAAAGTATCTTTAGTATTATTAGAATCATACAATGTTCTAAACAAGTAAAGATTTACACTAAAATGATGGATGGTGTGCATGTGCATGAATATCATTAATGCTTCTTAGAAGCTCCTTAAAGATGGGCTCTGAAATTGGAACCAGGAAAAGTTTCTTATAAGAATTTCCTTCCAAGAACAGCTTATTTATTTTTATTTTTTATTTTTATTTTTTGAGACGGAGTCTGGCTCTGTTGCCCAGGCTGGAGAGCAGTGGCGCAATCTCGGCTCACTTCAAGCTCCACCTCCCGGGTTCACGCCATTCTCCTGCCTCAGCCTCCAGAGTAGCTGGGACTACAATCGCCTGCCACCACACCCGGCTAATTTTTTGTATTTTTAGTAGAGACGGGGTTTCACCGTGTTAGCCAGGATGGTCTCGATCTCCTGACCTTGTGATCCACCCGCCTCAGCCTCCCGAAGTGCTGGGATTACAGGCGTGAGCCACCGTGCCTGGCTCCAAGAACAGTTTAAAGAGCAGTCAGTGGTTTTTTTTTTTTTTTTTTTAGAAGGAGTTTCACTCTTGTCCAGGCTGGAGTGCAATGGAGTGAACTCGGCTCACCACAACCTCCGCCTCCCGGGTTCAAGCAATTCTCTTGCCTCAGCCTCCCGAGTAGCTGGGATTACAGGCAAGCGTCAACATGCCTGGCTAATTTTGTATTTTTAGTAGAGATGGGGTTTCTCCAAGTTGGTCAGGCTGGTCTCGAACTCCCGACCTCAGGTGATCCACCCGCCTCGGCCTCCCAAAGTGCTGGGATTACAGGCGTGAGCCACTGCGCCCAGCCTAGTCAGTGGTCTTTTAATGAATAGCCATGTAAACTTGTGGACCTAAGAGCATTGAGAGACTCTTACTCCACAGTCACCTGCTTGCTTGCATTCCTTTTCTCTGCTGAAGGAAATCTAGGTTCATGGTTTTAACTGGTAACAGAGAAGAGGAACTGGAATTTGTTGAGGGAACGGGAACTTGATTGGGGGTCTGCCTGAGGTCACCTGCTGTTGGAGTCAGTCCTTTTACAGGGAGATAACATACATATAGTTCTGGTTCAGAACCAGAATTCAATCAATAGTACTTACTTGTATTGCTCTTACTCAAATCTCTTTTTTTTTTCAAATACGCATTTGCTGGAAAATTGATTGAAAAAGGATTAGAACATGATGCATTTATTTTTTATTTTATTTTATTTTTTGAGATGGAGTTTTGCTCTTGTTGCCCAGGCTGGAGTGTAATGGCGCGATCTTGACTCACTGCAACCTCCGCCTCCTGGGTTCAAGTGATTCTCCTGCCTTATCCTCCCGAGTAGCTGGGATTACTGGCATGTGCCACCACGCCTGGCTAATTTTGTATTTTTAGTAAAGACAGGTTATCTCCTTGTTGGTAGGCTGGTCTCGAACTCCCGACCTCAGGTGATCCGCCCGCCTCAGCCTCCCAAAGTGTTGGGATTACAGGCGTGAGCCACTGTGCCCAGCCTACATGATGCATTTAAATATATGGATGTGGGGCTGGGCGCAGTGGCTCATGTGTGTAATTCCAGCACTTTGGGAGGCAGAAGCAGGCGGATCACTTGAGGTCAGGAGTTTGAGACCAGCCTGGCCAACATGGTGAAACCCTGTCTCTACTAAAAATACAAAAATTAGCCAGGCGTGGTGGTGGGCGCCTGTAATCCCAGCTACTTGGAAGGCTGAGGCAGGAAAATCGCTTGAACCGAGGGAGCAGAGTTTGCAGTGAGCTGAGATTGTGTCACTGCACTCCAGCCTGGGTGACAGAGCTAGACTCCATCTCAAAAAAATTTAAAAAAAAAGAAAAAATTTATGCATGTGAAATGTGGTGAGAGATTCAGTAGGTTTGGACAGGAGCTTATGGATCTGCATTTTTAAAAAGTATATTAGATAATTCTGATGATCTGCTTGGCTTCCAAATGCCATTCTACCAGCTGTTTCAGAATTACTTGGGATTGCTAATTAAAAATCTCTAGCCACACCCTTGACATAGTGACTCAGAATCTGAGGGGTAGGGTTAGAGAAGCTGTTTTTTTTTGTTTGTTTGCTTTTTGTTTTTTTGAGACAGAGTCTTGCTCTGTCACCCAGGCTGGAGTGCAGTGGTGTGATCTCAGCTCACTGCAACCTCCGCCTCCCAGGTTCAAGCAATTCTCTGCCTCAGCCTCCCAAGTAGCTGGTATTATAGGCACCTGCCACCATGCCCAGCTAATTTTTGTATTTTTAGTAGAGATGGGGTTTCACCATCTTGGCCAGGCTGGTCTTGAACTCCTGACCTCGTGATCCACCCGCCTCCGCCTCCCAAAGTGCTGGGATTACAGGCATGAGCCACCACGCCCGGCCAAGAAGCTGTATTTTTTTTTTTTTTTTTTTTTGAGACAGAGTCTCACTCTTGTTCCCCAGGCTGGAGTGCAATGGCACGATCTCGGCTCACTGCAACCTCCCCCTCCCGGGTTCAAATGATTCTCCTGCCTCAGCCTTCCGAGTAGCTGGGATTACAGGCACCTACCACTATGCCCAGCTAATTTTTGTACTTTTAGTAGAGACGGGGTTTCACCATGTTGGCTGGGCTGGTCTTGAACTCCTGACCTCAGGTGATCCACCTGCCTTAGCCTCCCAAAGTGCTGGGATTACAGGCGTGAGCCACTACGCCTGGCCAAGAAGCTGTATTTTTAACAAGTGCCCAGACGATCCTGATGTACAACCAGGTTTATAAGCTTCTGTGCATTTCCAAACATGGGTAAACCCCACTTTGGTCCTGAGGACAGGTTGCCGAGATTTGCAGGAATAAGACAAGGAATGCTATAGATTGTCCCTCAATACATAATCTGGGCCCTCTGCACTTTCTGGCATACTTTTTGCTCATTTCTGTTTGACTCCTCATTGCACTTTTTCTATCTGTTACAGGTCTTTCCTACTTTGTTCTTTTGTCTCAACTCCACCCTCTCCCTCTTGAAGTAGACCTGAATTTGTGCCGATACACAATTTTTATCAGACTGGGGTATCTGAGGTGAGCTCAACCGACCTGTCACTTCAGACTTGGTTTATAGACTCCTTTATTGCAGCCCTCTCCTTTTTACTAATCTGGCAGATAAACCCAGTCCTCAGAGACATTTCTCCTCTGTTACCTTCCATGGTTTGCCCCTTTACTCTCATTTATAGGCTATTTTTTCCCCTCCTCACCCCCAATGAGGTAATCCTAGACTTTATTTATTTATTTATTTATTTATTTATTTATTTATTTAGTTTTGATAAAGAGCCTTGCTTTGTCGCCCAGGCTGGAGTGCGATGGTGCCATCTTGGCTCACTGCAAATTTCACCTCCCAGGTTCAAACGATTCCCCTGCCTCAGCCTCCTCAATAGCTGGGATTACAGGCCACACCATCATGTCCAGCCAATTTTTTTTTTTTTTTTTTTTGAGACAGAATTTCGCTCTCGTTGCCCAAGCTGTAGTGCAATGGTGCAATCTCGGCTCACTGCAATCTCTGCCTCCCGGGTTCAAGCAATTCTCCTGCCTCAGCCTCCCGAGTAGCTGGGATTACAGGCATGTGCCACCATACCTGGCTAATTCTGTATTTTTAGTAGAGACGGGGTTTCCCCATGTTGGTCAGGCTTGTCTTAACTCTCAACCTCAGGTGATCCGCCCACCACGGCCTCACATAGTGCTGGGTTGACAGGTGTGAGCCACCGCGCCTAGCCTAATTTTTGTATTTTTAATAGAGATGGGGTTTCGCCTTGTTGGCCAGACTAGTTTTGAATTCCTAGCTTCAAGTGATCCACCTGCCTCGACCTCACCATCCTAGATTTTAAACCTTGAAATTTTCTAGAGCTGCCTCCCAGTGACTTTAACTTACTGTGTGGATCTGCCTTGCTGCCCTCACTTCTTCATCTTCTCACCCCGTCCTCACCACTTCCTTGTCTTCTTTTGGACTGGCTTGTGTTTACAACATTGGATTAGCAGTTGTAAGGTCAGCAATGAATTCCCAAATAGCATTCAGCACCTATTTTCAGCCCTTCTTAATTTTTCTGTGACATTTGTACCTTTTTAAAGCTCTTTTCTTGGTTCTGATGACCTGAGATATCTTGATTTTCCTACCTCATTGGTTCTTCAACTTTCTTCCTCTGGCTTTGCCATTTTCTCCTTTCTCCTCGTCTTCATTGGGGGTCCCATCTGCCCTCTGGGAAGGTTCAGCAGAGGGTATCTATACCTACTCCGCGTTTTCAAGGGCCTGCTTAATGAATATAAATGCTCCAAGGGCACCAAATCACAATTTCTTTTTACATTGCAATCCAGCCCCTTCTCCTGACTTTCCTTGGCAATTTTACTAACCTAGCTCTTGTTTGGCTTCAAATTCTGTTTTAAAATGGAATCTACCTGCTACCCAATGAGCTACCAGTTCTTATCAGTTTTCCTTCATTTCACATTGAATGTTTTTGCCTTATTTTTGGCCTATTTCTCAACAATAGTGTTGCTATTCATTCTATATAACTCTTTCCTCCCCCCAGTAATTTTTCTTTTTTTTCTTTTTTTTTTTTTTGAGTTGAAGTCTCACTCTTGTCCCCCAAGCTGGAGTGCAATGGTGCGATCTCCGCTCCCTGCAACCTCCGCCTCCCAGGTTCAAGTGATTCTCCTGCCTCAGCCTCCCAAGTAGGTAGGACTACAGGCGCCTGCCACCACACCTGGTTAATTTTTCTATTTTTAGTAGAGACGGGGTTTCACTGTTGGCCAGGCTGGTCTCAAACTCCTGACCTCAGGTGATCCGCCTGCCTCGGCTTTCCAAAGTGCTGGGATTACAGGTGTAAGCCACTGTGCCCAGCCTCCCCCCAGTAATTTTTCTTAAATCTGAGTATGGATCATATCTTTGCCATAGTCAAAAACCTTCCATGTCTCCCCAGCTGCCTGTTACTGATGTCTGTGATGGGATCCAGAAATAATTGCCTTAGTGATTGATTGTTGGTTAAACCTTACCAGTAACCCCTGGAATAGGTATATCTTTTAAAATCCACACAAATATTTAGTCTTATTTGAACTATGAAAGCTAGACTAGTCATGCATTGATCACACTTTAGAAGTTGTGTGTATGTTTGTTTTCAGGAATATATTTGGCATCATTTGGTCCAGTCGCAGTAGCTCACATCTGTAAAACCAGCAGTTTGGGTGGCCACATTGGGAGGATTGCTTGAGTTTAGGAGTTCAAAATCAGCCTGGGTAACGTAGTGAAACCTTGTCTTGTCTCTCAAAAAAAAAAAAAAAAAAAGTCAAGAAATTTGCCAGTATGGACCTGGTGCGGTGGCTCACGCCTATAATCCCAGCACTTTGGGAGGCCGAAGCAGGTGGATCATGAGGTCAGGAGATTGAGACCATCCTGGTTAACAGGGTGAAACCCCATCTCTACTAAAAATACAAAAAATTAGCCGGGTCTGGTGGCGGGCGCCTGCAGTCCCAGCTACTCGGGAGGCTGAGGCAGGAGAATGGCGTGAACCTGGGAGGTGGAGCTTGCAGTGAGCCGAGATTGTGCCACTGCACTCCAGCCTGGGCGACACAGCGAGATTCCGTCTCAAAAAAAAAAAAATTGCCAGTATGGCCCGTAGTCTTAGCTACTCAGGAGGGTGAGGTGGGAGGATTGCTGAAGTCCCAAAGGGCGAGGCTGAGGCTGCAGTGACCTGTGATCACACCACTGTATTCCAGCCTGGGCAATGGAATGAGACTGTGTCTCAAAAAGAAAAAAAAAAAGAAATTGGCATCATTTGCAGGGCATTGTCTTGAATTTGTCATCGGTTCTTGAATTGCAGTTGACAGTGTAGGCATTAGCACCAGCAAGTGTTCTGGGAGCCCACAGTCAACTTTGTATTATTGCCTCACTTAAGCGAGAATAGAGTGAAAACAAACCCAGTTGCTGTGCCCGTCGCACATGCACATCCGTTCATTGGAATTAAACTGTCAGCCTTCATCAACTGCAGTGTCTGTGGAAACCAGGGAGCTACCACAGTTCTGGGAACCGCACTGAGCCTCAGTGCAACTTTGAACAAAATGCCAAATGTCCACCCTGCTCTGCAAGGCTGGGGTTGTCCCCTGGAGCCTCTGACAGGGTTTTGTTTTAGGCCACATGTTAATAATAGTCTTAAAAAGCACAATGACTTTACAATGAACTCTTTTTTTTTTCTTTTTTTTTTTTTTTTTGAGATAGAGTCTCACTCTGTCGCCCAGGCTGGAGTGCAGTGGTGAGATATCGGATCACTGCAGCCTCCGCCTCCCAGGTTCCAGCGATTCTCTTGCCTCAGCCTCCTGTGTAGCTGGGATTACAGGCGCGCCACCACGCCCGGCTAATTTTTGTATTTTTAGTAGAGACGGGGTTTTACCAGGTTGGCCAGACTGGTCTCGAACTCCTGACCTCAGTCAATCCACCCGGCTCAGCCTCCCAAAGTGCTAGGATTACAGGTGTGAGCCACTGCGCCCGGCCGCTCATTTGTATTTTTAAAACATGTGGGTGGGACGCGGTGGCTCAAGCCTGTAATCCCTGCACTTTGGGAGGCCGAGGCGGACGGATCACGACGTCAGGAGTTGAGACCAGCCTGACCAACATGGTGAAACCCCCTCTCTACTAAAAATACAAAAGTTAGCCGGGCGTGGTGGCACACGCCTGTAATCCCAGCTACACAGGAGGCTGAGGCAGGAGAATTGCTTGAACCCGAGAGGCAGAGGTTGCGGTGAGGCGAGATCGCGCCGCCACACTCCAGCCTGGGCGACAGAGCAAGACTCCGTCTCACAACAGCAACAACAACAACAAACACATGCTAGGAGGTGAAAAGTCAGCATGTGGAACCATATAAATTATAAGATACCCCAAATTGAAGAATACTGAGGGGTCATTGCTTACCATTTCAAGTACAATGCGGTATAAAAATCAACTCAAAAAGGCATACTGGTTGAGTGCAGTGGCTTACGCCTGTAATCCCAGCACTTTGGGAGGCGAAGGTGGGCAAATTATCTGAGGTCAGGAGTTCTAGACCAGCCTGACCAACATGGTGAAATCCTGTCTTTACTAAAAGTACAAAAATTCACAGGGTGTGGTGGCGGGCGCCTGCAGTCCCGGCTGCTCGGGAGGCTGAGGCAGGAGAATCTCTTGAACCCAGGAGGTGGAGGTTGCAGTGAACCGAGATTGCGCCACTGAACTCCAGACTGGGCGACAGAGCGAGACTCCATCTCAAAAGAAAAAAAAAGGCACATAGAGAAAAAGCATACAGATTTATTAACGTGCACACGTGAGAATCACAGAATGATTGCCCAGTATCCCAATGGGGCCCAAATACTTACATAATCTTATTTCAGAGGGGAAGAGGAGATAGGGAATATTGGTATTCTGCTGAGTAATAATTGATTACTGTGGAGAATGAATGGATGAGGGAACAGAGACTGATGTGTAAATGATTCTCTTTGGAAATGGAGTGATCCCGAGAGGCAGACGTTATTTTGTAGAAAGATCTGATTAGGTCTGGTTACATTCTTGGTCATCTTTTCTGCAGTAGATTGTGAGATAATGGAGAGAAGGAAAAAGTATTGTTTTTGTTGGGTCTATCTGGTGTTTATGTAGACAGAGGAAAAATCTATTCCTAATACCTGTTGATTTTTAAGGGCTTTTAATTCAAAATACTCATTATCTCAGGAGGCTGTGTTTTGGGGTGGAAATTCCTTGCGCTCCTTCAATTGGAAGTTATGAAATTGTTATAGGCTGGGTATGGTGGCCCACACCTGTGTTCCAGCACTTTGGGAGACCTAGGTGGAAGGATTGCTTGAACCCAGAAGTTCAGGACCCGGCTGGGCAATAGGGAGTCCCCTTTTTGTTTTGTTGTTGTTGTTTTGAGATGGAGTCTCGCGCCATCGCCAGGCTGGAGTGCATTGGCGCGATGTCAGCTCACTGCAACCTCCGCCTCCTGGGTTCAAGCGATCCTCCTGCCTCAGTCTCCACCACACCCATCTAATTTTTTGTATTTTTTGTAGAGACGAGGTTTCACCATGTTGGCCAGGATGGTCTCAATCTCTAGACCTCGTGATCTGCCTGCCTCAGCCTCCTAAAGTTCTGGGATTACAGGCATGAGCCACCGCGCCTGTCCAGAGACCCCTTTTCTAGAAATTTTTTTTTTTTTTTTTTTTTTTTTAATTAGCCAGCCATGGTGGTGCATGCCTGTGGTCCCAACTACTCAGGGGACTGAAGTGGGAGGATTGCTTGAGTTTGGGAAATCAAGGCTGCAGTGGAGCCATAATTGCGCCACTGCACTCCAGCCTGGGTGACAGAGTAAGACTCTGTCTCCAAAAAAAAATTTTTTTTAAATTATAGCCAATTTGATTAAAAATAATTACCAACAGGGTGGGGGCTAGGGGAGGGATAGCTTTAGGAGAAATACCTAATGTAGATGATGGTTTGATAAGTGCAGCAAACCACCATAGCACATGTATACCTTTGTAACAAACCTGCACGTTCTGCACGTGTATCCCAGAACTTAAAGTATATATAAAAAAAATTACCAAAAACCTATTTATAGAAAAAAAAACTTTTAACAAAATGATCTTCGTTTACTCTGCAGAAAGTTGGCTAACATGTAACATTTACGTGCTGTGTAAATTATGCCGTCATATTAATGTGCTGTGTAAATTATGCTGTCATATTAATGACTTACCAGTATGTTAGCAGTATTGGTAATTTTCATCCTAGAAAGGGGAATATAATGCATAATTTTAATACCACTGTTGTGTCTAAGAGAAGCGTTCAGAGGAAGGCACACTTTGGACTGTGCTGCATGCATCTTTGGGGAAAACTGAACATGTAATTTGTGCCCTCAAGGTCATCTGGGAGCTTGTGTGTACTGGCTTATGCATCTGGTGGGAGCAGCAGCCTGCTGACACAATCTGGAAGTCTCCCTAAAATGTATAAAACCAAGTTATAATCCAACCACCTTGGGCGTGCTTTCTCTGGACCTCTGGAGACTGTACTTCGGACCATGGTCACTTATGTTTGGCTCAGAATAAACCTTAAATATTTTACAGAATTTGCTTTTTTTTGTCAACAGGATTGAAGGCAATTGTATTCTTTGGGGGTCCAGTTTCTAGGTAGATGAAGGAACTACAGAGAACAGCCTCATCTTGTACTTTTGGACAGAAAGATAACTGAGAGATAGGGGAGCGAAGGTCAGAGAGACCTTGAGGATACTTTTTTTTTTTTTTTTTGAGACGGAGTCTTGTTCTGTCACCAGGCTGGAGTGCAATGGCATGATCTTGGCTCACCGCAACCTCCACTTCCTGGGTTCAAGGGATTCTCCTGCCTCAGCCTCCTGAGTAGCTGGGATTACAGGCGCCCACCAGCACACCCAGCTAATTTTTATATTTTTAGTAGAGACAGTGTTTCACCATGTTAACCAAGCTGGTCTCAAATTCCTGACCTCAGGTGATCCACCTGCCTCGACCTCCCAAAGTGTTGGGATTATAGGCGTGTGCCACCGCACCCAGCCTACTTCTTTTTTTTTTAAAAAATTATTTATTTATTTTTGTGGGTATAGAGTTGGTGTATATATTTATGGGGTATATGAGGTACTTTGATACAGGCATGCAACGGGTAATAATCACATCGTGGAAAATGGGGTAACCATCCTGTGAAGCATTCATCCTTGTGTTACAATCCAATTACACTCTTTTAGTTATAAAATGTCCAATTAAATTATTGACTATAGTCACCCTGTTGTGCTATCAAGTACTAAGTCTTACTTATTCTTTCTATTTTTTTTTGTACTCATTAATCATCCCCATTTCCCCTCCTCCCCAGCTGCACTTCCCAGCCTCTGGTAATCATTCTTCTACTATCTCCATGAGTTCAGTTTTGATTTTTTTAGCACCCACAAATAAGTGAGAACATGCAAAGTTTGTCTTTCTGTGACTGACCTATTTCACTTAGCATAATGACTTCTGGTTCCATCCATGCTGTTGCAAATGATATTTATTGATATTTTGTATTTTATTCATTTCAAATGTATTTATTTCTGCTCTGATCTTTATTGTTTGTTCTAATTTTGGGTTCGGTTTGCTCTTGCTCTTCTAGTTCTTTAAGATGAATGTTAGGTTATTTATTTGAAGTTTTTCTTCTTTTTGATGTAGGCCCTCATAGGTGTAAATTTCCTTCTTAGTACTGCTTTCACTGTATCTCATAGATTTTGGTAGTTGTGTTTCCATTATTATTGTTTCAATAAATTTTTCAATTTCCTTCATAATGTTTTCATTGACCCACTGTTCATTCAGGAGCATATTATTTAACTTCCATGCGTTTGTATATGTTCCAAAATTCCTCTTGTTATTTATTTGTAGCTTTATTTCATTGTGGTCAGAGAAGATGCTTGCTATTATTTCAGTTTTTTTTGAATGTTTTAAGACTTGTTTTGTGACCTAACATGTCATCTGTCCTTGAGGATGATCCATATGCTCAGGAGGATGTTCTGTAGCCATTGGATGAAATGTTTCATAAATACTTATTAGGTTCATTTGTTCTATTCTGCAGATTAAGTCTGATATTTCCTTGTTTATTTTCTGTCTAGAAGATCTGTCCAATGCTGAAAGTAGGATTTAGATGTCTCCAGCTATTACTGTATTGGGATCTGTCTCTCTTTTTTTTTTTTTTTTTTTTTTTTTTGAGACAGAGTCTCCCTGTGTCACCCAGGCTGGAGTGCTGTGGCACAGTCTCGGCTCACTGCAAGCTCCGTCTCCTGGGTTCACGCCATTCTCCTGCCTCAGCCTCCTGAGTAGCTGGGACTACAGGCACCTGCCACCACGCCTGGCTAATTTATTGTATTTTTAGTAGAGACGGGTTTCACCGTATTAGCCAGGATTGTCTTGATCTCCTGACCTCGTGATCTGCCCGCATTGGCCTCCCAAATGCGGAGCCACCAGGCGTGAGCCACCGCGCCCAGCCTCTTTCTTTAGCTCTTAATAATATTTCCTTTATATCTGGGTGTTACATCCTCTTGCTGAATGGACCCCTTTATCATTATATAGTGACGTTATATGTGTTTTCTTACAGTTTTTCTCTTGAAACCTATTTCATCTGATATAAGTATAGCTACTCCTGCTCTTTTTTTGTTTTCATTGGCATGAAATATCTTTTTCCATTCATTTATTTTCAGTCTATTTGTATCTTTATAAATGAAGTGTGTTTCTTTTAGGCAACAGCTCATTGGGCCTTGCATTTTTATCCATTCAGCCTCTCCATGTCTTTGTGTTGTGTGTCACCCAGGCCGAAGTGCAGTGGTTCAATCTCAGCTCACTGCAACTTCTGCCTCCTGGGCTCAAGTGATCCTTTTCTTCAGCCTTCCAAGTAAAGTAGCTGGGACTACAGGTGTATGCCACCATGCCCAGCTAATTTTTGTATTTTTTGTAAAGACAGGGTTTCCCTGTGTTGCCCAGGCTGGTCTTGAACTCCCGTGCTCAAGCAATCTGCTCACCTTGGCTTCCCAAAGTGCTGGGATTACAGGTGTGAGCGACTGTACCTGGCCAACTGTATGTCTTTTGATTAGAGAGTTTAGTTGATTTACAATCAGTGTTATTATTGGTAGGTAAGCACTACTCCTACCATTTTATTTGTCTTCTGGTTGTTTTTTGGTCTTCTCTTCTTTCTTTCCTTCTTTCCTGTCTTCCTTTTAGTGAAGATGATTTTCTCCAATGTTACGCTTTAATTTCTTTTTATTTTTTGGGTGTCCATTGTACGTTGGACATGCACACAATGGACACACATAAAACACAACAATTAGTATTCGGTTTGCAAATACTATCTCGTAACCCATTATTTTAAATGGATGACAACACTGATTGCAGAAATAAACAAGCAAAAAAGAAAATGAATAAAACTATATACTTTAACTTTCTCCTCCCCTTTTAACTTTTGTTTCTTTTTATGTCTTATTGCACTGTCTATATCTTGAAAAGTTGTAGTTATTATTTCTGATGGGTTCATGGTTTAGTCTTTCTACTTAAGAGTATTTCACACACCAAAAATTGCCATGTTATATTCCTGTTTTTCTGTGTGCCATTACCAGTGAGTTTTGTACCTTCAGATGATTTCTTATTGCTCATTAACGTCCTTTTCTTTTTCTTTTTCTTTTTTTTTTTTTGAGATGGAGTCTTGCTCTGTCACCCAGGTTGGAGTGCAATGGCACAATCTCGGCTCACTGCAACCTCCGCCTCCTGGGTTCAAGCAATTCTCCTGCGTCAGCCTCCTGAGTAGCTGGGACTACAGGCGCATGCCACCACGTCTGCTAATTTTTGTATTTTTAGTAGAGATGAGGTTTCATCATGTTGGTCAGGCTGGTCTCAAACGCCTGACCTCGTGATCCACCCACCTCGTCCTCCCAAAGTGTTGGAATTACGGGCATGAGCCACCGCGCCTGGCCTAACGTCCTTTTCTTTCTGATTGAAGTACCATTTAGCATTTTTTGTAGGACAGGTCTGGTGTTGACAAAATCTCTCAGCTTTTGTTTGTCTGGGAAAGTCTTTATTTCTCCTTCAAGCTTAAAGGATATTTTTGCTGGATACACTATTCTAGGGTAAATTTTTTTTTTCTTCCGCATTTTAAATATGTCATGCCTGTAAGGTCTCCTGGCCTGTAAGGTTTCCACTGAAAAGTGCTAGATGTATTGGAGCTCCATTATATGTTATTTATTTATTTATTTTCTGAGACAGAGTCTCACTCTGTCACCCAGGCTGGAGTACAATGGTGCGATCTTGGCTCACTGCAACCTCTGCCTCCCAGGTTAAAGTGATTCTCATGCCTCAGCCTCCTGAGTATCTGGGATTACAGGTACATGTCACCATGTCTGGCTAATTTTTGTATTTTTAGTAGAGATAGGATTTCCTCATGTTGACCAGGCTGGTCTCCAACGCCAGGCTTACTAATTCTTTCTTCTGCTTGATCTGTTCTGCTAATAAGAGACTCTGATGCATTCTTCAGTATGCCAATTCCATTTTTAGTTTCTGCATAATTCTTTTTAGTTATTTCAGTCTCTTTGTTACATTTATCTGATAGAATTATCAATTCCTTCTCTGTGTTATCTTCAATTTCTTTGAGTTTCCTTACCACAGCTCTTTTGAATTCTTTGTCTGAAAGGTCACATATCTCTGTTTTTTTCCAGGAATGGTCCCTGGTGTCTTAGTTCTTTTTTTTTTTTTTTTTTTGAGACAGAGTCTCGCTCTGTCGCCCAGGCTGGAGTGCAGTGGCACAATCTCGGCTCATTGCAAGCTCCACCTCCTGGGTTCACGCCATTCTCCTGCCTCAGCCTCCCGAGTAGCTGGGACTACAGGCGCCCGCCACCACGCCCGGCTAATTTTTTGTATTTTTAGTAGAGACGGGGTTTCGCTGTGTTAGCCAGGATGGTCTTGATCTCCTGACCTCGTGATCCGCCCGCCTCTGCCTCCCAAAGTGCTGGGATTACAGGCGTGAGCCACCGCGCCTGGCCCTGGTGCCTTAGTTCTTTGGGCGAGGTCATGTTTTCCTGGATGGTCTTCATCCTTGTAGATATTTGTCTATGTCTGGGCATTGAAGAGTTAGGTATTTATTGTAGTCTTCACTGTCTGGGTTTGTGCCCATCCTTCTTGGAAAGGCTTTTCAGGTATTTGAGGGGATGTGGGCCCAAACTGAATAACTCTGTGGTTCTTGCCGACTTATAGAGGTACCACCTTGATGATCTTAGATAAGATCTGGAAGAATTCTCTGGATTACCAAGCAGAGACTCTTGTTCTCTTCCTTTATTTTCTCCCAAACAAATGGAGTCTCTCTCTGTGCTAAACCACCTGGACCTTGGGGGGTGGGGTGTCACCAGCACACCGTGGCCACCACAACTGGGACTGTACCGGTTCAGACCCGAAGCCAGGATAGCACTCGATCTTGCCCAAGGCCCGGTGTAACCACTACCTGGCTACCACCTAAGTTTACTCCAGGCCCTAGGACTCTGCAGTCAGCAGGTGGCAAAGCCAGCCAGGTTTGTGCCCTTCCCTCCAGGGTGGTGAGTTCCCCTAGGCCCCAGATTGGTTCATAGATGCTGTCTGAGAACACCAGGGATTGAAGTCAAAACCTTAGATATTTACCTGGTGTTTTGTTCTACTGTGGTTAAGGTGGCACGTGACCCACAAGACAAGTTGCTTCCCACTCTTCCCTCCCCTTTCCACGGGCAGAAGATCCTCTCCCTGTGGCTGCCATCACCACTGGCTTATGGGGGGGTTCTGCCAGGCCATCACTGATACTTAAAGCCTAAGGGCTCTTCCGTCAGCTTGTGACCAATGCTGCCAGCTCTGGGACTCACCTTTTGGCTCAGGGCAGGTCCAGAAATGCTGACCAAGAGCCTAGGCCTGGACTCAGTGACCTCAGAAGTCTGCTTGTTGCTCTACCCTCTGTAGCTGAGCTAATACCTGAGGTGCAAGACAGAGAGTCTCCTTTATTTTCCCCCTGCTTTTCTCAAACAGGAGTCTTTCACTGTAGCCCTCACAGCTGGGAATGTGCTGGGTCACACCTGAAGCCAGCATGTCTCAGAGCCCAGTGCCTATGGTATACTACCTGGATAGTGCTGTTGATAATTCAGGGCCTTGGCGCTCTTTAGTCAGCAGGGGGTAAATCCTGCCAGGTTTCCTCTGTGACAGGGCAGCACTGAGTTAAGTTAAAGTGCCCCAGTCACTGCATTCTCCCTCTACTAAATGCACAGATTTCTCCCCACCACGCAGCCACTGCTGGGGATGGGGGAGGCATGGCAGAAGCACTCCCTTAGTCACCCTGGCTGGTGTCTTAGTAGGTTGTGTGCCTCCTACTCTAGTCCACTGGCTCTGGGCCCAGCTTAGCACTAGGGCTTGCCTAGGAATTGCAGTCCTTGTGGCCTAACCTGCCCCTCAAGACCACTTAGGGCCCCAGAGCACTCTGGCCTGTGGTTGTGAGGCTTGTGGGAACTCAAGCTCTGACTGCTATGGTGGGTGATTTCCCTCTGGCTAAGGCCAGTCCAAATGCTCCTTCCGTGGTTAGATGTCATCTGAGTGCAGCCTGGTTCTGCTTATCACTGACAGGGCAGCACTGAGTTCAAAGCAAAGCCTCCCAACTGCTGTGCTGTCCATCTCCCAAAAGCACAAAATCTGCACGTGTGGCCACTGCTGGGAGAAGGGGGAGGGCTGGCATTGGCACTTCAAGACTGTCTTTCCTATTCTCTTCAATGTCTCTTTCAGTGATATGAAATTAAAACCAGCTACTGTGAATGCTCACCTGATTTTTGGTTATTTGAGATGGCTGCCTTTTGTATGTAGTTAGTTGTTAAAATTTGATGTTCCTCCTGGGGGTGAGGGGGGTGACAAACAGTGTAGGCTTCTTCTATTCCATCATCTTGCTCTGCCCCTGTGGCTGCTGCCTTAGTTCAGCATGCCAAAGTGCCGTATTTTGGGGTATTGTTTTCATGCCCTAACAGTTCCTTGTGGCAGCTTTTGTGTATCTCTAATCTAATGCTTGTCTCATTGGATCATGTTTGTTTACAAGGATCTAGCACCTACTACAAGTTACTGCCCTAGGTGCAAGCTCTTCCGGGCATGTCTTTCCGTTCCCTTTCAATCCCTCTGGCTTAGCCCTTGCCTCCCTAGCCCCTTCCAAAACTGCCTTTTATTGCTGACCACTTTCCTCAGTCTTTCCTTCTGTGCTGTCTTGAGCAACCCCAGTTTTATGTTTAGAAAATTCCCTAAAACCTGAATTTCAACACAGACCCACACAGTTTTCTG
The DNA here is from genome assembly GCF_000001405.40 of Homo sapiens. Taxonomy (NCBI): domain Eukaryota; kingdom Metazoa; phylum Chordata; class Mammalia; order Primates; family Hominidae; genus Homo; species Homo sapiens. Next base: position 32,420,543 of record NC_000012.12, read on the forward strand.
CATGAAGCCTGGCTTTCTCCCACATTACTGATTCCCTGGTGACACTCAAGTGACGGTTGTTCATCTTTTATGACCCACATATCTCCTGGTTGGGACCTGAGGTCAGCCCTCTTCTAGCTTTCCCTGACTAGAAAAAATTCCTCCTGCTTTCACTGTTGTCAGTCACCTCAATTTCTTCACCAAACTTCTTGTTTTTGCTCTGTGTCTGCCCTATAGCCCCTAATTCTGTAGTCATCCATTGCTCCTCAAGGGCCTCTCAAAGTCCATTCAGGGGCTCAATAGATATTGAATAAACAGAAGAACCCCAAACTAGTTGGTACATTTTGGTTCAATGTAATAATTATTTTTTACTTTTTATTTTTTTAAAGAGACAGGGTCTCCACTCTTTCACCTGGACTGGAGTATGGTGGCATGATCATAGCTCACTGCAACCTCGAACTCCTGGGCTCAAGTGATCCTTCTGCCTTGGCCTCTCAAAGTACTGGGATTTACCAGCATTAGCCACCATGCCCAACCAAACATAAGAATTTTCTACCAACACTGTCAGAAAGTGGAATTAGGGTTCTGCAGTGATCATGAGTTTCTTAATAATGAGGGATATTCAAGGAGAGGCTAGATGACTTAGTGGCTTTGCTATAGAGGAGATGGAATGCCAGATGTAACTCTTTCTGACCTGTAATCCCAGCTTGCAAACTAAATAACATCAGTGGTACTCAGCTTTCCTTGTGTGTCTACACCATTCATATACTCGCATCAGCAATGTGTAGCAATTTTGTGCTGGGGTGTATTAGAGAATAGTATACTTTTTGTTCTCTTTGAGTATTCATGGACTGGACTTTCTTTATGTCCCTTTTAGTTTAACAGTTCCAATTTTCTTGGCATCCTTTCTGATGTTGTCGTAGGGCCTTATTTCAAGAGCATGCTGGTCTGTAGGATCTGGCTGCTCCTCCACTGAAAGCCCCCAGAATGCTTTGTTACATTGTCAGGAATTTCTGTATTTCTTTTATCTTGTAGCTTTCTCTATCATATCCCATTTCCACTGTCCTCTCTTCTTTCACAGCCATTTTCTTCCTCTTTCTTTGCTCATTGTTTTTTCATTATTAGGACTTGGCTTTTTAGGTCAAGACTCCTGATAAAAGGACTCCTTTCTTCTGCTGTTGCCTTACCAGTCACATATGTGGTGCTGTCTCTAGTGGGCTTTGCTTTAAAAGCAAAAAACAAAAAACCAACAACAACAAAAGCAAAACAAAAGCAGCTATGCATGTTTAGAAACTGGATTTTAGTTCACAGCTTGTATAGAAAAAGATGAGACTATAGGCCGGGCGCAGTGGCTCACGTCTATAATCCCAGCACTTTGGGAGGCTGAGGCAGGCGGATCATGAGGTCAGGAGATCGAGACCATCCTGGCCAACGCGGTGAAACCCTGTCTCTACTAAAAAAAAATACAAAATATTAGCCGGGTGTGGTGGCGGGCACCTGTAGTCCCAGCTACTCGGGAGGCTGAGGCAGGAGAATGGCGTGAACCCGGGAGGCTGAGCTTGCAGTGAGCCGAAATCATGCCACTACACTCCAGTGTGGGCGACAGAATGAGACTCTGTCTCAAAAAAAAAAAAAGAAAAAGATGAGACTATAAAACATCTGATGCTTGGAATATTGCTGTTACTGTTTTCCATCTCTTAATCTATTTCATTCAATCTAAAATGTGCATTTTTTTTTCACATTGAAGCATCTCAAATTGGGAGCTGCTTTTTTTTTTTTTTTTTTTTTTTTTTTTGAGACAGAGTCTCGCTTTGTCACCCAGGCTGGAGTGCAGTGGTGGGATCTCGGTTCACTACAAGCTCCGCTTCCCGAGTTCACGCCATTCTCCTGCCTCAGCCTCCCAAGTAGCTGGGACTACAGGCGCCCGCCACCATGCCTGGCTAATTTTTTGTATTTTTAGTAGAGATGGGGTTTCACCATGTTAGCCAGGATGGTCTCGATCTCCTGACGTTGTGATCCACCCGCCTCAGCCTCCCAAATTGGGAGCTTCTTAAATTGGCAGTATTTTAAAAATTATGTGACATTGAAATGTAGATTGGCCTAAATTTTAAAATGTAGTTGCACAGTATTTACTGCCTCTAGATAATAGTTTATTAAATACTCTCCCAGACTATATAACTGAGAAAATACACTAACAAATTCCCCTCCCCCTTTTCTAAATTAAAAACATAGTATATATGAATATCATTTTCATATATCTTGCTACTTCCTTAGCCTTCTTAATTATAAACTTGAGTCAGCTATTATTTACTGAGTACTTACATTTTAGATGCTGTTCTAAGTGCTCCACATGTATAAACTTGCTTAGTCATCACGAGTGGGAACTATTACCCTCATCGTACAGAAGAGGAAGCAGAAGCCCATAAAGTTTAAATACTTTCTCCAAGTTCACATGGCTAGTAGGTGGGGGAGTGACGATTTAAACCCCTGCTCTTAATCTCTGTACTTTTCTGTCTGATGTAAATTTCTTATTGCCCTTTTTTTAATATCACTGAACTTGAGGATATTGTTTATCTTTAGCAATGGAAAAATCATTTCCTCCTGATATTCTTTATCCAGTTTGTCTAAAGTCTAAAAAACAAAACAACTCTTTGGTTTATTACTGGGTGAACCCCAAAATTGGGATTCGGCCAGAGAGGCCACATGGGTTCTCGGCTTCCTCCAGGAAAGAATTCAAGAACAAGCTGACAGTAAAGTGAAATCATGTTTATTAAGAAAGTTAAGGAATAGGCCAGCACGGTGACTCACACCTGTAATCCCAGCACTTTGGGAGGCCGAGGCGGGCAGATCACTAGGTGAGGAGATCGAGACCATCCTGGCCAACATGGTTAAACCCCATCTCTATTAAAAAATACAAAAAATTAGCCGGGCGTGGTGGCAGGCGCCTGTAATCCCAGCTACTTGGGAGGCCGAGGCAGGAGAATTGCTTGAACCCGGGAGGCGAAGCTTGCAGTGAGCCGAGATCACGCCACTGCATTCCAGCCTGGGCAACAGAGTGAGACTTCATCTCAAAAAAAAAAAAAAAAAAAGAAAGAAAGTGAAGGAATAAATAAAAGGCTGGCTACTCCATAGGCAGAGCAGCCCCATGGGCTGCTGGTTGACTATTTTTATGGTTATCTTTGATCACATGCTAAGCAAGGGATGCATTATTCATGAGTTTTCCAGGAAAGAAGCTGGTAGTTCCTGGAACCAAGAGTTCTTCCCATTTTTAGACAATATAGAGTAATTTCCAGGAGTTGCCAGCATCTGTAAATTTACTGTCATGGCACTGGTGGGAGTGTTTTTTTTTTTTTCTTTTTCTTTTTGTCCACCTTTTCCCTACTTCTACCATTCTATTCTCTACTTCCATGAATTTGACTTTTCTAAATTCCACACATAAGCTGAGATCATACTGTATTTGTCTTTCTGTGCCTAGCTCATTTGACTTAACATAATGTTCTCTAGGTTCATCCATGCTGTTGCAAATGACAGAATTTCCTGCTATTTATTTATTTATTTTTTGTTATACTTTAAGTTCTGGGATACATGTGCAGAACATGCAGGTTTGTTCCATAGGTATACACGTGCCATGGTGGTTTGCTGCATCCATCAACCCGTCATCTACATTAGGTATTTCTTCTAATGCTATCCCTCCCCTAGCCCCCAACCCCCTAACAGGCCCCGGTATGTGATGTTCCCCTCCCTGTGTCCATGTGTTCTCATTGTACAACTCCCATATATGAGTGAGAACATGCGGTGTTTGGTTTTCCGTTCCTGTGTTAGTTTGCTGAAGACGATTGTTTCTAGCTTCATCCATGTCCCTGCAAAGGACATGAACTCATTCTTTTTTTATGGCTGCATAGTATTCCATGGTGTATATGTGTCACATTTTCTTTATCCAGTCTATCATTGATGGACATTTGGGTTGGTTCCAAGTCTTTGCTATTGTGAATAGTGCTGCAGTCAACATATGTGTGCATGTGTCTTTATAGTGGAATGATTTATAATCCTTTGGGTATATGCCCGATAATGGGATTGCTGGGTCAAACAGTATTTCTGGTCCTAGATTTTTGAGAAATAGCCATACTGTCTTCCACAATGGTTGAACTAATTTACACTCCCACCAACAGTGTAAAAGCATTCCTATTTCTCCACATCCTCTCCAGCATCTGTTGTTTCCTGACTTTTTAATGAATGCTATTCTAACTGGTGTGAGATGGTATCTCACTGTGGTTTTGATTTCCATTTCTCTAATGACCAGTGATGATGAGCTTTTTTTCATATGTTTGTTGCCTGCATAAATGTCTTCTTTAGAGAAGTGTCTGTTCATATCCTTTGCCCACTTTTTGATGGGGTTGTTTGTTTTTTTCTTGTAAATTTGTTTAAGTTCTTTGTAGATTCTGGATATTAGCCCTGTGTCAGATGGAGAGATTGCAGAAATTTTCTCCCATTCTGTAGGTTGCCTGTTCACTCTGATGATAGTTTCTTTTGCTGTGCAGAAGCTCTTTAGTTTAATTAGATCTTATTTGTCAATTTTGGCTTTTGTTGCCATTGCTTTTGGTATTTTAGTCATAAAGTCTTTGCCCATGCCTATGTCCTGAATGGTATTGCTTAGGTTTTCTTCTAGGGCTTTTAAGGTTTTAGGTCTTACATTTAAGTTTTTAATCCATCTTGAGTCATTTTTTGTATAAGGTGTAAGGAAGCAGTCCAGTTTCAGTTTTCTGCATATGGCTAGCCAGTTTTCCCAACACCCATTTATTAAATAGGGAATCCTTTCCCCATTGCTTGTTTTTGTCAGGTTTATCAAAGATCAGATGGTTGTAGGTGTGTGGCGTTATTTCTGAGGTCTCTGTTCTGTTCTATTAGTCTATATATCTGTTTCAGTACCAGTACCATGCTGTTTTGGTTACTGTAGCCTTGCAGTACAGTTTGAAGTCAGGTAGCACGATGCCTCCAGCTTTGTTCTTTTGCTTAGGATTGTCTTGGCTATATGAGTTCTTTTTTGGTTCCATATGAAATTTAAAGTAGTTTTTTCTAATTCTGTGAAGAAAGTCAGTGGTAGTTTGATGGGGATAGCATTGAATGTGTAAATTACTTCGGGCAGTATGGCCATTTTCACGATAGTGATTCTTCCTATCCATGAGAATGGAATGTTTTTCCATTTGTTTGTGTCCTCTCTTATTTCCTTGAGCAGTGGTTTGTAGTTCTCCTTGAAGGGGAGAACTTCACATTTCTTGTAAGATGTATTCCTAGGTATTTTATTCTCTTTAGCAGTTGTGAATGGGAATTCACTCATGATTTGGCTCTCTGTTATTGGTGTATAGGAATGCTTGTGATTTTTGCACATTGATTTTGTATCCTGAGACTCTGCTGAAGTTGCTTATCAGCTTAAGGAGATTTGGAGCTGAGATGCTGGGTTTTCTAAATATACAATCATGTCATGTGCAAACAGAGACAATTTGACTTCCTCTCTTCCTATTTGAATACCCTTTATTTCCTTCTCTTGCCTGATTGCCCTGGCCAGAACTTCCAATACTATGTTGAATAGGAGTGGTAAGAGAGGGCATCCTTGTGTTGTGCCAGTTTTCAAAGGGAATGCTTCCAGCTTTTGCCCATTCAGTATAATATTAGTTGTGGATTTGTCATAAACAGCTCTTATTATTTTGAGACACATTCCATCAATACCTAGTTTATTGAGAGTTTTTAGCATAAAGGGGTGTTGAATTTTATCGAAGGCCTTTTCTGCATATATTGAGATAATCATGTGGTTTTTGTCGTTGGTTCTGTTTATGTGATGGATTACGTTTATTGATTTAAGTATGTTGAACCAGGCTTGCATCCCAGGGATGAAGCCGATTTGATTGTAGTGGATAAGCTTTTTGATGTGCTGCTGGATTCGGTTTACTAGTATTTTATTGAGGATTTTCGCATCGATGTTCATCAGGGATATTGGCCTGAAATTTTCTTTTTTTGTTGTGTCTCTGCCAGGTTTTGGTGTCAGGATGATGCTGGCCTCATAAAATGAGTTAGGGGGGATTCCCTCTTTTTCTGTTGTTTGGAATAGTTTCGGAAGGAATGGTACCAGCTCCTCTTTGTACCTCTGGTAGAGTTCAGCTGTGACTCTGTCTGGTCCTGGGCTTTTTTTGGTTGGTAGTCTATTAATTACTGCCTCAATTTCAGAACTTATTATTGGTCTATTCAGGAATTCGACTTATTCCTGGTGTAGTCTTGGGAGGGTGTATGTGTCCAGGAATTTATCAATTTCTTCTAGATTTTATAGTTTATTTGCATAGAGGTGTTTATAGTATTCTCTGATGGTAGTTTGTATTTCTGTGGGATCAGTGGTGATATCCCCTTTATCATTTTTTATTCTGTCTATCTGATTCTTCTTTCTTTTCTTCTTTCTTAGTCTGGCTAGTGGTCTATTTTGTTAATCTTTTAAAAAAAACCAGCTCCTGGATTTATTGATTTTTTTTTTCATGGTTTTTTGTTTCTCTGTCTCCTTCAGTTCTGCTCTGATCTTAGTTATTTCTTGTCTTCTGCTAGCTTTTGAATTTATTTGCTCTTGCTTCTCTAGTTCTTTTAATTGTGATTTTAGGGTGTCGATTTTAGATCTTTCCCACTTTCTCCTGTAGGCATTTAATGCTATGAATTTCCCTCTAAACACTGCTTTAGCTGCATCGCAGAGATTCTGGTACGTTGTTTCTTTGTTCTCATGGGTTTCAAAGAACTTATTTATTTCTGCCTTAATTTCGTTATTTACCCAGTAGTCATTCAGGAGTAGGTTGTTCGGTTTCCATGTAGTTGTGCAGTTTTGAGTGAGTTTCTTAATCCTGAGTTCTAATTTGATTGCGCTGTAGTCTGAAAGACTATTTGTTATGATTTCCATTCTTTTGCATTTGCTGAGGAGTATTTTATTTCCAAATATGTGGTCAATTTTAGAATAAGTGAGATGTGGTGCTGAGAAGAATGTATATTCTGTTGATTTGGGGTAGAGAGTTCTGTAGATGTCTATTAGGTCTGCTTGGTCCAGAGCTGAGTTCAAGTCCTGAATATCCTTGTTAATTTTCTGTCTTGATCTGTCTAATATTGACAGTGGGGTGTTAAAGTCTCCCACTATTATTGTGTAGGAGTCTAAGTCTCTTTGTAGGTCGCTAAGAACTTGCTTTATGAATCTGGGTGCTCCTGTATTGGGTGCATATATATTTAAGATAGTTAGCTCTTCTTGTTGAATTGATCCCTTTACCATTATGTAATGGCCTTCTTTGTCTCTCTTGATCTTTGTTGGTTTAAAGTCTGTTTTATCAGAGACTAGGATTGCAACTCCTGCTTTTTTTTGCTTTCCATTTCCTTGATAAATATTCCTGCATCCCTTTATTTTGAGCCTATGCGTGTCTTTGCATGTGAGATGGATCTCCTGAATACAGCACACCAATGGGTCTTGACTCTTTATCTAATTTGCCAGTCTGTGTCTTTTAATTGGGGCATTTAGCCTGTTTACATTTAAGGTTAGTATTGTTATGTGTGAATTTGATCCTGTCATTATGATGCTGGCTGGTTATTTTGCCCATTAGTTGATGCAGTTTCTTCATAGTATCAATGGTCTTTACAATTTGGTATGTTTTTGCAGTGGCTGGTACCAGTTGTTGCTTTCCAGATTTAGTGCTTCCTTCAGGAGCTCTTGTAAGGCAGGCCTGGTGGTGACAAAATCTCTCAGCATTTGCTTGTCTGTAAAGGATTTTATTTCTCCTTTGCTTATGAAGCTTAGTTTGGCTGGATATGAAATTCTGAGTTGAAAATTCTTTACTTTAAGAATGTTGAATGTTGGTCCCCACTCTTCTTCTGGCTTGTAGGGTTTCTGCAGAGAGATCTGCTATTAGTCTGATGGGCTTTCCTTTGTGGGTAACCCAACCTTTCTTTCTGTCTGCCCTTAACATTTTTTCCCTCAGTTCAACCTTGGAGAATCTGATAATTATGTGTCTTGGGGTCGCTCTTCTCGAGGAGTATCTTTATGGTGTTCTCTGTGTTTCCTGAATTTGAATGTTGGCCTGCCTTGCTAGGTTGGGGAAGTTCTCCTGGATAATATCCTGAAGAGTGTTTTTCAACTTGGTTCAGTTCTCCCCATCACTTTCAGGTACATCAATCAAACGTAGCTTTGGTCTTTTTAATAGTCCCATATTTCTTTAATCTTGTCTTGTGCTTTATTTCATTAAGTTGTCTTCAATCTCTGATGTCCTTTCTTCCGTGTGATTGATTCAGCTATGGATACTTGTTATGCTTCACAAAGTTCTCATGCTGTATTTTTCACCTCCATCAGGTCATTTATGTTCTTCTCTAAACTAGTTATTCTAGTTAGCAATTCCTCTAACCTTTTTTCAAGGTTCTTAGCTTCCTTGCATTGGGTTAGAACATGTTCCTT